>NT_187394.1:0-13807 GCF_000001405.40 Homo sapiens
CCCTGCCGTGTGAGGTGTCAGTGTGCCCCTGCTGGGGGGTGCCTTCCAGTTAGGCTGCTCGGGGGTCAGGGGTCAAGGACCCACTTGAGGAGGCAGTCTGCCCGTTCTCAGATCTCCAGCTGCATTCTGGGAGAACCACTGCTCTCTTCAAAGCTGTCAGACAGGGACATTTAAGTCTGCAGAGGTTACTGCTGTCTTTTTGTTTGTCTGTGCCCTGCCCCCAGAGGTGGAGCCTACAGAGGCAGGCAGGCCTCCTTGAGCTGTGGTGGGCTCCACCCAGTTGGAGCTTCCTGGCTGCTTTGTTTGCCTAATCAAGCCTGGGCAATAGCAGGCGCCCCTCCCCCAGCCTCACTGCCACTTTGCAGTTTGATCTCAGACTGCTGTGCTAGCAATCAGCTAGACTCTGTGGGCATAGGACCCTCCTAGCCATGTGCGGGATATAATCTCGTGGTGGGCCGTTTTCTAAGCCGGTCCAAAAAGCACAATATTTGGGTGGGAGTGACCCGATTTTCCAGGTGCGTCCGTCACCCCTTTCTTTGACTCAGAAAGGGAACTCCCTGACCTCTTGCACTTCCCAAATGAGGCAATGCCTCGCCCTGCTTCGGCTTGCACATGGTGAGTGCACCCACTGACCTGCGCCCACTGTCTGGCATTCCCTAGTGAGATGAACCCGGTACCTCAGATGGAAATGCAGAAGTCACCCATTTTCTGCATCGCTCATGGTGGGAGCTGTAGACTGGAGCTGTTCCTATTCGGCTATCTTGGCTCCTCCATCCGAAAAACTCTTTTAGAAGAATCTGCAAGCAGATATTTGGACCACTTAGAGGCCTTCAATGGAAACGGGAATATCTTCACATAAAAACTAGACAGTAGCATTCTAAGAAATTTTTTGTGATGTGTACATTCAACTAACAGAGTTGAAACTTTCTATTGATAGATCAGTTTTGAAACACTCTTTTTATAGTATCTGCAAGTGGTTATTTGTACTGCTTTGAGGCCTTCGTTTGAAACGGGAATATCTTCACATAAACACTAGACAGAAGCATTCTCAGAAACTTCTTTGTGATGTGTGCCTTCAACTCACAGAGTTGAACCTTTCTTTTGATAGAGCAGGTTTGAAACACTCTTTTTTTAGTATCTGCAAGTGGATATTTGTACTGCTTTGAGGTCTTCGTTTGAAACGGGAATATCTTCAGATAAACACTGGACAGAAGCATTCTCAGAAACTTCTTTGTGATGTTTGCATTCAACTACTCACAGAGTTGAACATAATTTGTCATAGAGCAGTTTTGAAATGCTCTTTTTGTAGAATCTGCTAGTGGATATTTGGACTGCTTTGAGGCATTCGTTGGAAACGGGAATATCTTCATATGAAAACAAGACAGAAACATTCTCAGAAACTTCTTTTTGATGTGTGCATTCAACTCACAGAGTTGTACATTTCTTTTGATAGGGCAGTTTTGAAACACTCTTTTTGTAGAATCTGCAAGTGGACATTTCTGAACTTTGAGGCTTATGGTGGAAAAGGAAATATCTTCACATGAAAACTAGACAGAAGCATTCTCAGAAACTTCTATGTGATGTGTGCATTCAACTCACAGAGTTGAACCTTTCTTTTGATAGAACAGGTTAGAAACACTCTTTTTGTAGAATCTGCAAGTGGACATTTGGAACGCCTTGAGGCCTATGGTGGAGAAGGAAATATCTTCACATAAAAACTAGACAGAAGATTTCTCAGAAACTTCTTTGTGATGTTTGCTTTCAACTCACATATTTGGACATACTGTATCACAGAGCAGTTTTGAAACACTCTTTTCGTAGCATCTGCTAGTGGATATTTGGACTGCTTACCAGCCTTCATTGGAAACGGGAATATTTTCACATAATCACTAGACAGAAGCTTTCTCAGAAACTTCTTTGTGCTGTGTGCATTCAACTCACAGATTTGAACCTTTCTTTTGATAGAGCAGGCTTGAAACACTCTTTTCGTATAATCTGCTAGTGGACATTTGGAGCGCTTTCAGCACTACCGTGGAAAAGAAAATGTCTTCCAATAAAAACTAGACAGAAGCATTCTTAGAATCTTCTTTGTAATGTGTGCCTTCATCTCAAAGAGTTGAAACTTTCTTTTGATTGAGAAGTTTTGAAACACCCTTTTTGTAGATTCTGCAAGTGGACATTTGCAGCGCTATGGGGACTATGGTAGAAAAGGTAATATCTTCACAAAAAATCTAGACAGAAGCAATCTGAGAAACTTCTTTGTGATGTGTGCTTTCATCTCACAGAGTTCAAACTTTCTTTTGACTGAGCAGTTTTGAAACTCTGTTTTTGAAGTATTTGCAAGTGGACATTTAGATCGTTTTGAGGCCTATGATGGAAAAGGAAATATCTTCACATAAAAACTTGACAGAAGAATTCTGAGAATCTCCTTTGTGATTTATGCGTTTATCTCACAAAGTTGAATCTTCCTTTTGATTGAGCAGTTTAGAAACATTCTTTTTGTAGAATCTGCAAGTAGACTATTGGAGTGCTTTGTTGCCTATGGTAGAAAAGGAAATATCTTCACATAAAATCTAGACAGAAGCAATCTCAGAAACTTCTTTGTGATGTGTGCATTCATCTCACAGAGTCAAACCTTTCTTTTGGTTGAGTCGTTTTGAAGCCGTCTTTTTGTAGAATCTGCAAGTGGACATTTTGAGTGCTTTGAGGCCTACAGTGGGAAAAGAAATATCTTCACATAAAAACTAGACAGAAGAATTCTGAGAAACTTCTTTGTGATGTGTGCGTTCTTCTCATAGAGTTGAAACTTCTTTTGATTGAGCAGTTTGCAGACACTCTTTTTGTAGAATCTGCAAGTGGACATTAGGAGCGCTTTGTGGCCTACGTTATAAAAGGAAATATCTTCACATAAAATCTAGACAGAACCAATGTGAGAAACCTCTTTGTGATGTGTGCATTCATCTCACAGAGTTAAACCGTTCTTTTGATTGAGCACTTTTGAAACTCTTTTTTTGTAGAATCTGCAAGTGGACATTTGGAGTGCTTTGAGGCCTATGGTGGAAAAGGAAATATCTTCACATAAAAACTAGAGAGAAGAATTCTGAGAAACTTCTTTGTGATGTGTGCGTTCATCTCACAGAGTTGAACCTTTCTTTTGATTAAGAATTATGGAAGCACTCTTTTTGTAGATTCTGTACGTGGACTTTGAAGGGTTTTGCAGCCTAAGTTAGAAAAGGAAATATCTTCACATAAAATCTAGACAGAAGCAAACTGAGAAACTTCTTTGGGATGTGTGCATTCATCTCACAGGGTTAACTCTTATTTTTGATTGAGCAGTTTTGAAACTCTCTTTTTGTTGAATGTGGAAGTGGACATTTGGAGCGCTTTGAGGCTAATGGTGGAAAAGGAAATATCTTCACATAAAAACTAGACAGAAGCATTCTTAGAAACTTCTTTGTGATGTGTGCATTCATCTCACAGAGTTAAGCCTTTATTTTGATTGAGCAGTTTTGAATCTCTCTTTTTGTAGAATCTGCAAGTTAACATTTGGAGCGTTTTGAGGCCTGTGGAGGAAAAGGAAATATTTTCATATCAAAACTACACAGAAAAATTTGGAGAAGCTTCTTTGTGATGCATGCTTTTATCTCACAGAGTTGAACCTTTCTTTTGATTAAGCAGTTTGGAAACACTCTTTTTGTGGAATCTGCCAGTGGACATTTGGAGCGCTTTGCCGCCTATGTTAGAAAAGAAATATATTCCCATAAAATCTAGATGGAATCAATCTGAGAAACTTCTTTGTGATGTGTGCATTCATCTCACAGAGTTAAAACTTTCTTTTGATTGAGTTGTCTTGAAACTCTCTTATTGTAAAATCTGCAAGTGGACATTTGGAGCACTTTGAGGCCTATGATGGAAAAGGAAATATCTTCACATACAAACTAGACAGCAGAATTCTGAGAAACTACTTTGTGATGTATGCGTTCATATCACAGAGTTGAACCTTACTTTTGATTGAGCAGTTTGTAAACACTCTTTTTGTAGAATTTGCAACTGGACATTTGGAGCGCTTTGTGGCCTATGATAGAAAAGAAAATATCTTCACATAAAATCTAGATAAAAGCAATCTGACAAACTTCTTTGTGCCGTGTGCATTCATCTTACAGAGTAAACCTTTCTTTTGACTGAGCAGTTTTGAAACTCTCTTTTTGTAGAATCTGAAAGTGGACATTTGGAACGCTTTGAGGCCTATGGTGGAAAAGGGATTATCTTCACATAAAAACTAGATAGAAGAATTCTGACAAACTTCTTTGTGATGTGTGCGTTCAGCTCACGAAGTTGAACATTTCTTTTGATGGAGCAGTTTGGAAACACTCTTTTTGAGGAATCTTTAAGTGGACATTTGGAGCTCTTTGCAGCCTATGGTGGAAAAGGAAATATCTTCACATAAGATGTAGACAGAAGTAATCTGAAAACCTTCTTTATGATGTGTGCATTCATCTGACAGAGTTAAACCTTTCTTTTGATTGAGCAGTCTTGAAACTCTCTTTTTGTAGAATCTGCAAGTGGACATTTGGAGCACTTTGAGTACAATGGTGGAAAAGGAAATAACTTCCCATAAAAACCAGACAGAAGAATTCTGAGAAACTTCTTTGTTATGCGTGCATTAATCTCACAGAGTTGAACCTTCCTTTTGATTAAGCAGTTTGCAACCACTCTTTTTGTCGAATCTGCAAGTGGACCTTTGGAGGGCTTTGTGGCCTATGGAAGAACAGGAAATATCTTCATATAAAATCTAGACAGAAGCAATCTCAGAAACTTCTGTGTGTTGTGTGCATTCATCTCACAAAGTTAAACTTTTCTTTTGATTGAGCAGTTTGGAAACTCTCTTTTTATAGGATCTGCAAGTAGACATTTGCAGTGCTTTGAGGTCAATGGTGGAAAAGGAAATATCTTCACATAAAAACTAGACAGAATAATTCTGAGAAACTTCTTTGTGATGCGTGCATTCATCTCACAGAGTTGAACGTTTCTTTTGATTGAGCTGTTGGAAACACTCTTTCTGTAGAATCTGCAAGTGGACATTTGGAGCGCTTTGCAACCTATGGTGGAAAAGGAAATATCTTCACATAAAAACTAGACAGAAGAATTATTAGAAACCTCTTTGTGATGCGAGTGTTCAACTCACAGAGTTGAACCTTTCTTTTGATTGCCCAGTTTGAAAACAACTCTTTTTGTAGATTCTGCAAGTGGACATTTGGAGCTCTTTGCGGCCTATGGTAGAAAAGGAAATATCTTCACATAAAATCTAGACAGAAGGAATCTGAGAAATTTCTTTGTGATGTGTGCATTCATCTCACAGAGTTAAACATTCTTTTGACTGAGCAGTTTTGAAACTGTCTTTTTGTATAATCTGCAAGTGGACATTTGGAGCGCTTTGAGGCATATGGTGGAAAAGGAAATATCTTCACAGAAAAACTAGACTGAAGAATACTGAGAAACTTCTTTGTGATGTGTGCGTTCATCTCACAGAGATGAAACTTTCTTTTGATTCTGCAGTTTGGAAACACTCTGTTTGTAGAATCTACAAGTGGACATTTGGAGTGATTTGCGGGCTGTGGTAGAAAAGGAAATATCTTCACTTAAAATCTAGAAAGAAGCAATCTGAGAAAGTTCTTCATGATGTGTTCATTCATCTCACAGAGTTAAAGATTTCTTTTATTGAACAGTTTTGAAACTCTCTTTTTGTAGAATCTGCAAGTGGATATTTGGAGCACTTTGCGGGTATGGTAGAAAAGGAAATATCTTCACATAAAATCTAGAAAGAAGCAATTTGAGAAACTTCTTTGTGATGTGTACATTCATCACACAGAGTTAAACCTTTCTTTTGATTGAGCAGTTTGGAAACACTCTTTTTGTAGAATCTGGAAGTGGACATTTGGAGCGACTTGAGGCCTATGGTGGAAAAGGAAGTATCTTCACATAAAAACTAGACAGAAGAATTCTGAGAAACTCCTTTGTGATGTGTGCCTTCATCTCACACAGTTGAATCCTTATTTTTATAAAGCAGTTGCAAAAACACTTTTAGTAGAATCTGAATGTGGACATTTGGAGCGCTTTGGGGACTATTGTAGAGAAGGTAGTATCTTCACATAAAATCTAGACAGAAGCAATCTGAGAAACGACTTTGTGATGTGTGCATTCTTCTCACAGAGTTAAAACTTTCTTTTGATTTAGCAGTTTTGAAATTCTCTTTTAGTAGAATCTGCAAGTGGACATTTGGAGAGCTTTGAGGCCAATGGTGGAAAAGGAACTATCTTCACAAAAAAAACTAGACAGAAGAATTCTGAGAAAGCAGTTGTGATGTGTGGGTTCATCTCACAGAGTTGATACTTTCATTTGTTTGAGCTGTTTGGAAACTATTTTTGTAGTATCTGCAAGTGGACATTTGAAGCTCTTTGCAGCCTATGGTAGAAAAGGAAATATCCTCACCTAAAATCTAGACAGAAGCAATCTTAGAAACTTCTTTGTGATGTGTGCATTCATCTCACAGAGTTGAACCTTTCTTTTGATTGAGGAGTTTGGAAACTCTTTTTCTAAAATCTACCAGCGGACATTTGGAGCACTTTGAGGCCTATCGTTGAATACAAAATATCTTCACATAAAAACTAAACAGAAGAATTCTGAGAAACTTCTTTGTGATGTGTGCTTTCATCTTACAGAGTTAAACTTTTCTTTTGATTGAGCAGTTTTCAAAATGTCCTTTTGTAGAATCTGTAAGTGGACATTTGTCGAGCTTTGAGGCCTATGGTATAAACGGAAATATCTTCACATAAAACCTAAATAGAAGTATTCTGAGAAACTTCTTTGTGATGTGTGCATTCATCTCCCCGAGTTGACCCTTTCTTTTGAAGGACCAGTTTTGAAATAAGCTCTTTGTAGAATCTGCAAGTGGACATTTTCAGTGTCTTGAGGTCTGTGGTGGAAAAGGAAATGTCTTCACATAAAACCTAGACAGAGGAATTCTGAGAAACCTCTTTGTGATGCATGCGTTCATCTCACAGAGTTGACAATTTCTTTTGTTTGAGCAGTTTGGAAACAGTCTTTTTCTTGAATCTGCAAGTGGACATTTGGAGAGCTTTGCGGCCTGTGGTAGAAAAGGAAATATCTTCACATAAAATCTAGACAGAAGTAATCTGAGAAACTTCTTTGTGATGTGTGCATTCGCCTCACAGAGTTAAAATGTTCTTTGGTTGAGGAGTTTTGAAAATCTCTTTTTGTAGAATCTGCAATTGGACCTTTGGAGCGCTTTGTGGCCTATGGTAGAAAAGGAAATATCTTCACATAAAAACTAGACAGAAGCATTATGAGAAACTTCTTTTTGATGCATGTGTTCATCTCACAGAGTTCAACCTTTCTTTTGATTGACCCGGTTTGGAAACACTCTGTCTTTTAAATCTGGAAGTGAACATTTGGAACGCTTTGAGGCCTATGGTGGAAAAGGAAATATCTTCATATAAAAACTAGACAGAAGAATTCTGAGAAACGTCTTTGTGATGTGTGCATTCATCTCACAGAGTTGAACTTTTGTTTGGATGTAGCAGTTTGAAAACACTCTTTTTCTAGAATTTGCAAGTGGACATTTGGAACTCTTTGCAGCCTATGGTAGAAAAAAGGAATATCTTCACATAAAATCTAGACAGAAGTAATCTGAGAAACTGCCTTGTCATGTGTGCATTCATCTAACAGGGTTGAACCTTTCTTTTGATTGAACACTTTGGAAATGCTCTTTTTGTAGAATCTGCAAGTGGACATTTGGAGCGCTTTGTGGCCTATTTTAGAAAATGAAATATCTTCACATTAAATCCAGACAGAAGAAATCTGAGAAACTTCTTTGTAAATGTGTGCATTCATCTCACAGTGTTAACCCTTTCCTTTGATTGAGAAGTTTCGAAACTCTCTTTTTGTAGAATCTGAAAGTGGACATTTGGAGTACTTTGAGTCACATGGTGGAAAAGGAAATATCCTCAGATGAAATCTAGAAAGAAGCAATCTGAGAAACTTCTTTACGATGTGTGCATTCATCTCACACAGTAAAACCTTTCTTTTGATTGAGCAGTTTTGAAACTCACGTTTTGTAAAATCTGTAAGTGGACATTTGGAGGGCTTTGAGGCCTATGTTGGAAAAGGAAATATCTTCACATAACAAGACAGAAGAATTCTGAGAAACGTATTTGTGATGTGTGCGTTCATCTCACAGAGTTGAACTTTTCTTTTGATTGAGCAGTTTGGAAACACTCTTTTTGCAAAATCTGCAAGTGGACATTTGGAACGCTTTGTAGCCTATATTAGAAGAAAGAAATATCTTCATATAAAATCTAGACAGAAGCAATCTGAGAAACTTCTTTGTGATGTGTCCTTTCATCTCACAGAGTTGAACCTTTCTTTTGATTGAGCAGTTTGGAAAAATTCTAGAATCTGCAAGTGGACATGTTGTATGCCTTGTGGCCTATAGTAGAAAAGGAAATATCTTCACATAAAATCTAGACAGAAGCAATCTGAGAAACTCCTTTGTTATGTGTGCACTCATCTCAAAGAGGTAAACCTTTCTTTTGATTGAGCAGTTTTGAAACACTCTTTTTGTAGAATCTGCAAGTGGACAGTTGGAGCACTTTGAGGCCTATGCTGGAAAAGGAAATATCTTCAGATAAAATCTAGAAAGAAGCAATTTGAGAAACTTCTTTGTGACATGTGCATTTATCTCACATAATTAAACATTTTTTGACTGAGCGGCTTTGAAACTCTCTTTTTGTAGAATCTGCAAGTGGACATTTGGAGGCCTTTGAAGCCTATGTTGGAAAAGGCAATTATCTTCACATAAAAACCAGACCGAAGAATTCTGAGAAACTTCTTTGTGATGCTTGCGTTCATCATACAGTGTTGAATCATTCTTTTCATTGAGCAGTATGGAAATACTGTTTTTGAAGGATCTGCAAGTGGATATTTAGAGCGCTTTGCAGCCTATGTTAGAATAGGAAATGTCTTCACATAAAATCTAGACAGAAGCAATCTGAGATACTTCTTTGTGATGTGGCCTTTCATCTCACAGGGTTAAAACTTTCTTCTGTTTGAGCAGTTTTCAAACTCTCTTTTTGTAGAAACTGCAAGTGGACATTTGGAGCGCTTTGAGGCCTGTGGTGGAAAAGGAATTATCTTCACATAAAAACTAGACAGAAGAATTCTGAGAAACTTCTTTGTGATGTGTGCTTTCATCTCACAGAGTTGAAGTCTTCTTTTCATTGAGCAGTTTGGAAACATTCTTTTTTAGAATCTGCATGTGGACATTTTTATCGCTTAAGGCCTGTGGTAGAAAAGGTAATATCTTCACATAAAATCTAGACAGAAGCAATCTGAGAAACTCCTTTGTGACGTGTGCATTCATCTCACAGCATTAAAACTTCCTTTTGATTGGAGCAGTTTTGAAACACTCTTTTTGTAGAATCTGCAAGTGGATATTTGGAGCGCTATGTGGCCTATGGTGGAAAAGGAAATATTTTCACATAAAAACTAGACAGAAGAATTCTGAGAAACTTCTTTGGGACGTGTGCATTCATCTCACAGAGTTGAACCTTTCTTTTGATTGAGCAGTTTGCAAACACTCTTTTTGTAGAATCTGCAAGTGGACATTTGGAGAACTTTGTGGCATATGGTAGAAAACGAAATATCTTCATATAAAATCTAGACAGAAGCAATCTGAGAAACTTATTTGTGATGTGTGCATTCATCTCACAGCGTTAGAACTTCCTTTTGATTGGAGCAGTTTTGAAACACCCTTTTTGTAGAATCTGCAAGTGGATATTTGGAGCGCTTTGAGGTCTATGGTGGAAAAGGAAATATCTTCACATTAAATCTAGACAGAAGCAATCTGAAAAATTTCTTTTTGATGTGTGCATTTATCTCACAGAGTTAAAACTTTCCTTTGAATGAGTAGTTCTGAATCTCTGTTTTTGTTGAATCTGAAATTGGGCATTTGGAGCTCTTTCAGGCCCTTGGTGGAAAAGGACATATCTTCACATAAAAACTAGACAGAAGAATACTGTGAAATCACTTTGTGATGCATGCGTTCATCTCACAGAGTTGAACCTTTGTTTTGATTGAGCCATTTGGAAACACTGTTTTTGTAGAATCTGCAAGTGGACATTTGGAGCACTTTGCAGCCAATGGTAGAAAACGAAATATATTCACATAAAATCCAGACAGAAGCAGTCTGACAAACTTCTTTGTGATGTGTGCATTCATCTCACAGAGTTAAACCTTTCTTTTTATTGAACAGTTTTGAAACTCTCTTTTTGTAGTATCTGCAAGTGGACATTTGGAGCCCTTTTAGGCCTGTGGTGGAAAAGGAAATCTCTTCACATAAAAACTAGATAGAAGAATTCTGAGAAACTTCTTTGTGATGCGTGCTTTCATCTCCCATAGTTGAAACTTTCTTTTGATACAGCCAGTTGGAAACACTCTTTTGTAGAATCTGAAAGTGCACATTCGCAGCACTTTGCGGCCTATAGTAGGAAAGAAAATATCTTCACATAAAGTCTAGACAGAAGCAATCTGAGAAACTTCTGTGTGATGTGTGCATTCCTCTCATGGAGTTAAACGTTTCTTTTGATTGAGCAGTCTTGAAGCTCTCTATTTGTAGAATCTGCAAGTGGATATTTGGAGCTCTTTGAGGCCAACAGTGGAAAAGGAAATATCTGCACATAAAAACTGGACAGAAGAATTCTGATAAACTTCTTTCGGACGTGTGCATTCATCTCACAGATTTGAACCTATCTTTTGATTGAACAGTTTGGAAACACTCTTTCTGTAGAATCTGCAAGTGGACATTTGGAGAACTTTGCGGCGTATGGTAGAAAAGGAAATATTTTCACATAAAATCTAGACAGAAGCCATCTGAGAAACTTCTTTGTGATGTGGGCATTCATCTCACAGAGTTGAACTTTCTTTTGATTGAGCAGTTTGGAAACACTTTTTTTGTAGAATCTCGAAGTGGACATTTGGAGTGCTTAGAGGCCTATGGTGGAAAAGGAAATATCTTCACATGAAAACTAGACAGAAGAATTCTGATAAACTTCTTTGTCATGTGTATGTACATCTCACAAAGCTGAAATTTTCTTTTGGTTGAGCAGTTTGGAAATACTCTTTTTGTAGAATCTGCAAGTGGACATTTGCAGCGCTTTGCGGCCTATGGTTGAAAAAGAAATATCTTCACATAAAATCTAGAGAGAAGCAATCAGAGAAACTTCTTAGTGATGGGTACATTCATCTCACAGAGTTTAAACTTTCTTTTGATTCAGCAGTTTTGAAACTCTCTTTTTGTAGAATCTACAAGTGGATATTTGGAATGCTTTGAGGCCTATGGTGGAAAAGGAAATATCTTCACATAAAAACTAGACAGAAGAATTCTGACAAACTTCTTTGTGATGTGTGCATTCTTCTCACAGAGTGGAACCATTCTTTTGATTGAGCAGTTTGGTACCACTCTTTCTTGTAGAATCTGCAAGTGGACATTTGGAGCACTTTGTGGTCTATGGTAGAAAAGTAAATATCTCCACATAAAATCTAGACAGAAGCAATATGAGAAACTTGTTTGTGATATATGCATTCATCTCACAGAGATAACCCTTTCTTTTGATTGAGCAGTTTTGAAACTCTCTTTTTGTAGAATCTGCAAGCGGACATTTAGAGCGTCATGAGGCCTATGGTGGAACAGGAAATATCTTCACATAAAAGTTAGACAGAAGAATTCTGTGAAACTTCTTTGTGATGAGTGCATTCATCTCACAGAGTTGAACGTTTCTTTTTGAGTAGTTTGGAAACACTCGTTTTGTAGAATCTGCAAGTGGACATTTGGATCTCTTTGTGGCCAATGGTAGAAAAGGAAATATCTTCACACAAAATCTAGACAGAAGCAATCTGAGAAACTCCTTTGTGATGCGTGCATTAATCTCACGGGGTTAAACCTTTCTTTTGATTGAGCAGATTGGAAACTCTCTTTTTGTAGAACCTGCAAGTGGACATTTGGCAGCACTTTGAGGACTGTGGTGGAGAAGGGAATGTCTTCACATAAAAAGTAGATAGAAGCATTCTGAGAAAGTTCTCTGTGATGTCTGCATTCATTTCCTGGAGTTCCATCTTTCTTTAGAAGAACCAGTTTTCAAATACTCTTTTTGGCTAATCTGCAAGGGGACATTTCAAGCACCTTCAGGCTTAAGTTGTAAAAGGAAATATCTTCACAAAAAAACAGATAGAAGAATTCTGAGAATCTTTTTTATGATGTGTACGGTCATCTAACAGAGTTGAACCTTTCTTTTGATTGCGTAGTTTGGAAACCGTTTTTGTAGAATCCGCAAGTGGACATTTGGAGCGCTTTGTGGCTTATGATAGAAAAGGAAATATCTTTACATAAAATCTAGAAGGAAGCAATCTGAGAAACTTCTTTGTGATGTGTGCATTCATCTCACAGAGTTGAAACTTTCTTTTGATTGAGCAGTTTTGAAACACTCTCTTCGTGGAATCTGCAAGTGGATATTTGGAGCCCTTTGAGGCCTATTGTGGAAAAGGAAATACCTTCACATAAAGACTACTCAGAAGCATTCTGAGAAATACCATTGTGATGTTTGCATTCAACTCACAGAGTTGAAACTACGTTTTGATTGAGCAGTTTTAAATCTATCTTTTTGCAGAAACTACAGGTGTATGTTTGGAAAGCTTTTAGGCCTATTGTGGAAAAGGAAATATCTTCACATAAAAACTACACAGAAGCATTCTGAGAAACTACTTTGTGAGGTGTGCATTCAACTCACGGAGTTGAAATTATCTTCTCTTTGAGGAGTTTTCAATCTCTCTTTGTGTAGGATCTGCAAGTGGATATTTGAAGACCTTTGTGCCCTATGGTGGAAAAGGAAATATCTTGAAATAAAAACTACACAGAAGCATTCGGAGAAACTTCTTTGTGATGTGTGTATTCAACTCACAGAGTTGAACCTATCTTTTGATGGAGCAGTTTTGAATCTCTCTTTTGCACAATCTGAAGGTGGATATTTCGAGCCCTTTGAGGCCAACAGTGGAAAAGCAACTATCTTCACATAAAAACTAGACAGAAGCATTCTCAGAAACTTATTTGTGAGGTGTGCATTCAACTCACAGAGTTGAACTTATCTTCTCATTGAGCAGTTTTGAATTTATCTTTTGGTAGAATCTCCAAGTGCGTATTTGGAGACCTTTGCGCTCTATGGTGGAAAAGGAAATATCTCCAGATAAAAACTACACAAAAGCATTCAGAGAAACTGCTTTGTGATGTATGCATTCAACTCACAGAGTTGAACCTATCTTTTGAATCAGCAGTTTTGAATCTCTCTTTTGGCAGAATCTTCACGTGGATATTTGGAACCCTTTGAGGCCTACTGTGGAAAAACAAATATCTTCACATAAAAACTACACAGAAGCATTCTGAGAAACTTCTTCATGATGTGTGCATTCATCTCACAGGGTTGAACCTAGCTTATGATTGAGCAGTTTTGAAACACTCTTTTTGTAGGATCTGCAAGTGGATATTTGGAGCGCTTTGACGCCTACAGTGGAAAACAAAATACCGTCAAATAAGAACTACACAGAAGCATTCTGGGAAACTTTTTGTGATGTGTGTATTCATCTCACAGAGTTGAAACTTTCTTTTGATTGAGCAGTTTTGAAACACTCTTTTAGTTGAATCTGCAAGTGGATATTTGGAGCCTTCTGCGGCCTATGGTGG
>NT_187394.1:14127-37185 GCF_000001405.40 Homo sapiens
TCAGAAACTTCTTTGTGATGTATGTGTTCAACTCACAGAGTTGAACCTATCTTTTGATTGAACAGTTTTGAATCTCTCTTTTTGCAGAATCTGCAAGTGGATATTTGGAGCGCTGTGAGGCCTACTGTGGAAAATCAAATATGTCCACATAAAAACTACAGAGAAGCATTCCGAGAAACTTCTTTGTGATGTGTGCATTCAACTCACAGAGTTGAACCTGTCTTTCAATTGAGCAGTTTTGAATCTCTCTTTTTGCAGAATCTGCAAGTGGATGTTGGGAGAGCTTTGAGGCCTATTGTGGAAAAGGAAATAGCTTCACATAAAAACTACACAGAAGCATTCTGAGAAACTTCTTTGTGATGTGTGCATTCATCTCACAGAGTTGAACCTTTCTTTTGATTGAGCAGTTTTGAAACACTCTTTTTGTAGAATCTGCAAGTGGATATTTGGAGAACTTTGAGGCCTATTGTGGTAAAGGAAATATCTCCACATAAAAACTACTCAGAAGCACTCTGAGAAACTTCTTTGTGATGTGGGCATTCAACTCACAGAGTTGAACCTGTCTTTTGATTGAGCAATTTAGAGTCTCCCTTGTTGTAGAATCTGCAAGTGGATAGTTGGAGCCCTTTGCACCCTATGGTTGAAAAGGAAATATCCTCAATAAAAACTACACAGAAGCATTCTAAGAAACTTCTTCGTGATGTGTGCATTCAACTGACTGAGTTGAATTTATCTTCTCATGTTTTGTAGAATCTGGAAGTGGATGTTTGGAGCCCTTTCACCCTATTGTGGAAAAGGAAATATCTGCAAATAAAACTACACAGAACCATTCAGAGAAACTTCTTAGTGATGTATGCATTCAACTCACAGAGCTGATCCTATCTTTTTATTGAGCAGTTTTGAATCCCTCTTTTGGCAGAATCTGCAGGTGGATATTTGGAGCCCTTTGAGGCTTACTGTGGAAAATCAAATATGTTCACATAAAAACTACACAGAAAGATTCAGAGAAACTTCTTTGTGATGTGTACATTCAAGTCACAGAGTTGAACATAATTTTTGATTGAGCAGTTTTGAATCTCTCTTTTTGCAGAATCTGTATGTGGATGTTTGGAGAGCTTGGAGGCCTATTGTGGAAAAGGAAATATCTTCACATAAAAACTACACAGAAACATTCTGAGAAACTTCTTTGTGAGCTGTGCTTTCAACTCACAGAATTGATCTTATCTTGTCATTGAGCAGTTTTGAATCTCTCTTTTTGTAGAATCTGCAAGTGGATATTTGGAGCCCTTTCAGCCCTGTGGTGCAAAAGGAAATATCTTGAAATAAAAACTACAAAGAAGCATTCAAACTTCTTTGTGATGTATGCATTCAACTCACAGAGTTGAACGTATCTTTTGATTGTGCAGTTTTGAATCTCTCTTTTTGCAAAATCTGCAGGTGGATATTTGGAGCCCTTTGAGGCCTACTGTGGAAAAGCAAATATGTTCACATAAAAATTACACAGAAGCATTCTGAGAAACTACTTAGTGGCGTGTGCATTCATCTCACAGGGTTGAATCTATCTCATGATTTAGCAGTTTTGAAACACTATTTTTGTAGAATATGGAAGTGGATATTTGGAGCCCATTGAGGCCTATAGTGGAAAGGAAATATCTTCACATAAAAACAACACAGAAGGATTCTGAGAAACTTCTTTGTGATGTGTGCATTCATCTCACTGAGTTGAACCTTTCTTTTCATTGTGCAGTTTTGAAACACCGTTTTTGTAGAATCTGCGAGTGGATATTTGGAGAACTTTGTGGCCTATTGTGGAAAAGGAAACATCTTCACATAAAAACTACTCGGAAACATTCTGAGAAACTTCTTTGTGATGTGGGGATTCAACTCACAGAGTTGAACCTATCTTTTGATTGAGCAGTTTAGAGTCTCTCTTTTTCTAGAATCTGCAAGTGGATATTTGGATCCCTTTCCACCCTATGGTGGAAAAGGAAATATCTTCAATAAAAACTACACAGAAGCATTCTAAGTAACTTCCTCATGATGTGCACATTCAACTCACTGAGTTGAACTTATCTTCTCAATGTGCAGTTTTGAATCTCTGTTTTTGTAGATTCTGCAAGTGGGTATTTGGAGCCCTTTGCGCTCTATGGTGGAAAAGGAATTATCTTCAAATAGAACTACCCAGAACCATTCAGAGAAACTTCTTTGTGATGTATGCATTCAACTCACAGGGTTGTACCTATCTTTTGATTGAGCAGTTTTGAATCCCTCTTTTTGCAGAATCTGCAAGTGGATATTTGGAGCCTTTTGAGGCCTGCTGTGCAAAATCAAATATCTTCACATAAAAACTACACATAAAGATTCTGAGAAACTTCTTTGTGATGTGTGCTGTCAACTCATAGAGTTGAACCTATCTTTTGATTGAGCAGTTTTGAATCTCTCTGTAGAATCTGCAAGTGGACGTTTTGTGAGCTTTGAAGCCTTATGTGGAAAAGGAAATATCTTCACATAAAAACTACACAGAAACATTCTGAGAAAATTTTGTGAGGTGTGCATTCCACCCACAGTGTTGAACATATCTTGTCATTGCGCAGTTTTGAATCTCTCTTTTTGTAGAATCTGCAAGTGCACATTTGGAGCCCTTTGCGCCCTATGGTGGAAAAGGAAATATCTTCAAATAAAAACTACATAGAAGCATTCAGAGAAACTGCTTTGTGATGTATGCATTCAACTCACAGAGGTGAACTTATCTCTTGTTTGAGCAGTTTTGAATCTCTCTTTATGCAGAATCGGCAGGTGGATATTTGGAGACCTTCGAGGCCTACTGTGGAAAAGGAAATAACTTCAAATAAAAACTACACAGAAGCATTCTCAGAAACTTCTTCGTGATATATGCATTCAACTCACAGAGTTGAACCTATCTTTTGATTGAACAGTTTTGAATCTCTCTTTTTGCACAATCTGCAAGTGCATATTTGGAGCGTTGTGAGGCCTGCTGTGGAAAATCAAATATGTTCACAGAAAAACTTAACAGAAGCATTCTGAGAAACTTCTTTGTGACGTGTGCATTCAACTTACAGAGGTGAACCTATCTTTTGATGGCGCAGTTTTGAATCTCTCTTTTTCCAGAATCTGTAAGTGGATGTTTAGAGAGCTTTGAGGCCTGTTGTGGAAAAGGAAATATCTTCACATAAAAGCTACACAGAAGCATTCTGAGAAATTTCTTTGTGAGGCGTGCACTCAACTCACAGAGTTGATCTTATCTTCTCATTGAGCAGTTTTGAATCTCTCTTTTTGTAGAATCTGCAAGTGGATATTTGGAGCCCTTTGAGCCCTATGGTGGAAAAGGAAATATCTTGAAATAAAAACTACAAAGAAGCATTCAAACAAACTTCTTTGTGATGTATGCATTCAACTCACAGAGTTGAACGTATCTTTTTATTGAGCAGTTTTGAACCTCTCTTTTTGCAGAATCTGCAGGTGGATATTTGGAGCCCTTTAAGGCCTACTGTGGAAAAGCAAATATCCTCACATAAAAATTACACAGAAGCATTCTGAGAAACTACTTCGTGACGTGTGAATTCATCTCACAGGAATGAATTTGTCTCACGATTGAACAGTTTTGAAACACTCTTTTTGTAGAATATGGAAGTGGATATTTGGAGCCCATTGAGGCCCATAGTGGTAAGGAAATATCTTCACATAAAAACAACACAGAAGCATTCTGAGAAACTTCTTTGTGATGTGTGCATTCATCTCACAGAGTTGAAACTTTCTTTTTATTGAGCGGTTTTGAAACACCGTTTTTGTAGAATCTGCAAGTGGATATTTGGAGAACTTTGAGGCCTATTGTGGAAAAGGAAACATCTTCACATAGAAACTACTCAGAAGCATTCTGAGAAACTTCTTTGTGATGTGGGAATTCAACTTACAGAGCTGAACCTATCTGTTGATTGAGCAGTTTAGAGTTTCTCTTTTTCTAGAATCTGCAAGAGGATATTTGGAACCCTATGCACCCTATGGTGGAAAAGGAAATATCTTCAATAAAAACTGCACAGAAGCATTCTAAGAAACTTCTGCGTGATGTGTACATTCAAATCACTGAGATGAACTTATCTTTTCAATGATCAGTTTTGAATCTCTGGTTTTGTAGAATATACAAGTGGATATTTGGAGCTATTTGTGCCCTCAAGTGGAAAAGGAATTATCTTCAAATAAAACTACACAGAACCATTCAGAGAAACTTCTTTGTGATGGTTGCATTCAACTCACAGAGATGAACCTATCTTTTGATTGGGCAGTTTATAATCTGTCTTTTTGAAGAAACTGCAAGTGGATATTTGGAACCCTTTGCACTCTGTGTTGGAAAAGGAAATATCTTCAAATAAAAACAACACAGAAATATTCAGAGAAACTTCTTTGTGCTGTGTGCATTAAACTCAGAGAGTTGAAACTTCCTTTTGGTAGAGCAGTTTTGAAACACTCTTTTTGTAGAATCTGCAGGTGGATATTTGGAGCGCTTTGAGGCCTATGGTAGAAAAGGAAATATGTTCATATAGAAACTAGATAGAAGCATTCACAGAAACTATTTTGTGATGTGTGCATTCAACTCCAAGAGTTGAACATTCCTTTAGACAGAGCAGTTTTGCAACACTATTTTTGTACTATCTGCAAGTGGATATTTGGACTGCTTTGAGGCCTATGTTGGAAAAGGAAATATCTTCACACAAAAACTAGACAGAAGCATTCTCAGAAACTTCTTTGTGATTTGTGCATTCAACTCACCGAGTTCACCATTTCTCTTGACAGAACAGTTTTGAAAAACACTTTTTGTAGAATCTGCAATTGGATATTTGGAATGCTTTGAGGCCTTCGGTGGAAACAGGAATACCTTCACATAAACACTAGACAGAAGCATTCTCAGAAACTTCTTTGTGATGTGTGCATTCAATTCACAGAGTTGAACCTTCTTTTTGAGAGAGCAGTTTTGAGACACTGTTTTTGTATAATCTGCAAGTGGACATTTGGAACACACTGAGGCCTACTGTGGAAATGGAAATATTTTTACATAAAAACTAGACAGAAGCATTCTCAGAAACTTCTTTGTGATGTGTGCATTCAACTCAGAGAGTTGAACCTTTCTTTTGATAGAGTAGGTTTGAAACACTCTTTTTGTAGAATCTGCAAGTGGACATTTGCAGCGCTTGGAGGCCAATGGTGGAAAAGGAAATAACTTCACATAAAAACTAGACAGAAGCATTCTCAGAAAACTCTTTGCAGTGGTTGCATTCAACACACAGAGTTGAACATACCTTGTCCTAGAGCAGTTTTGAAACACTCTTTTTGTAGAATCTGCAAGTGGATATTTGGACCGCTTTGAGGCTTTCGTTGGAAACGGGAATATCTCCACACAAACAGTAGACAGAAGGATTCTCAGACTCTCCTTGTAATGTGTGCATTCAACTCAGAGTTTAACCTTTCTTTTGATAGAGCAGGTTTGAAACACTCTTTTTGTAGGATCTGCAATTCGATATTTTGAGAGCTTTGAAGCCTATGGTTCAAAAGGAAATATCATCACATAAAAAGTAGACAGCAGCATTCTCAGAAACTACATTGTGATGTTTGCATTCAACACACAGAGTTGAACATAACTTTTAATGGAGCAGTTTTGAAACACTCTTTATGTATAAGCTGCAAGTTGATATTTGAATAGATTTCAGGACTTCATTGGAAACGGGAATATCTTCACATAAAAACTAGACAGAAGCATTCTCAGAAACTAGTTTGTGAGGTTTGCATTCAACTCACAGATTTGAACATACTTTATCATAGAGCAGTTTTGAAGCACTCTTTTTGCAGAATCTGCAAGTGGATATTTGGAACGCTTTGAAGCCTTCATTGGAAACGGGAATATCTGCAAATAAACACTAGATAGAAGCATTCTCAGAAACTTCTTTGTGATGTGTGCATTCAACTCACAGAGTTAACTTTATTTCATAGAGCAGATATGAAACACTCTTTTTGTAGAATCTGCAACTCGACAATTGGAACGCTTTGAGGCCTCTGGTGGAATAGGAAATATCGTCACATAAAAACTAGACAGAACCATTCTCAGAAACATCTTTGTGATGTTTGCATTCAACTCACAGAGTTGAAAATCCGTTTTCATAGAGCAGTTTTGAAACACTCATTTTGTAGACTCTACAAGTGGATATTTGGACTCCTTTGAGGCCTTCATTTTAAAAGCGAATATCTTCATATAAAAACTAGACAGAAGCATTCTCAGAAACTTCTTTGTGATGTGTGCATTCAACTTACTGAGTTGAACATACTTTATCATAGAACAGTTTCGAAGCACTCTTTTAGTAGAATCTGCAAGTGGATATTTGGACCGCTTTGAGGCCTTCATTGGAAACGGGAATATCTTCACATAAAAACTAGACAGATACATTCTCAGAAACTTCTTTGTGATGTGTGTATTCAAAATAAAGATTTGAACCTTTCTTTTAATAGAGCAGGTTTGAAACACTCTTTTTGTAGGATCTGCAAGTGGACATTTGGAGAGATTTGAGGCCTATGGTGGAAAAGGAATTATCTTCTCATAAAAACTAGACAGAAGCATTCTCAGAAACAACATTGTGAGGTGTTCATTCAACACAAAGAGTTGAACATTTCTTTTGATACAGCAGTTTTGAAATACTCTTTTTGTAGAATCTGCAAGTGTACATTTGGAGAGCTTTGAGGCCTATGGTGGAAAAAGAAATATCTTCACACAAAAATTAGACAGAAACATTCTCAGAAACTTCTTTGTGATGTTTTTATTCAACTCACAGATTCGAACATACTTTTTCATGGAGCAGTTTGTAAACACTTTTTCTAGAATCTGCAAGTGGAAATTTGGACTGCTTTGAGGCCTTTGCTGGAAAAGGGGAAATCTTCACATAAACAGTAGGCAGAATCATTCTCAGAAACTTCTTTGTGATGTGTGCATTCCACTCACAGAATTGAACCTGTCTTTTGATATAGCAGGTTTGAAACACTTTTTTGGTAGAATTTGGAAGCAGACATTTGGAGAGCTTTGAGGCCTATGGTGGAAAAGGAAATATCTATAAATAAAAACTAGACAGAAGCATTGTCAGAAACTTCTTTGTGATGTTTGCATTCAACTCACAGAGCTGAACCTCCCTTGTCATAGAGCTGTTTTGAAACACTCTTTTCATAGAATCTGCAAGTGGATATTTGGACCGCTTTGAGGCCTTCGTTGTAAACGGGAATATCTTCACATAAAAACTAGACAGAAGCATTCTCAGAAACTAATTTGTGATGTGTGCATTCTACTCACAGAGTTGAACCTTTCTTTTCATAGAGCAGGGTTGAAACACTCTTTTTGCAGGACCTGCAAGTGGACATTTGGAGCTCTTTGAGGCCTATGGTGGAAAAGGATATATCGTCACATAAAAACTAGACAGAAGCATTCTCATAAACTTATTTGTGGTGTGTGCGTTCAACTCACAGAGTTGAACCTTTCTTTTGATAGAGCAGGTTTGAAACATTCATTTTGTAGAATCTGAAATGGACATTTGGAGAGCTTTGAAGCCTGTGGTGGAAAAGGAAGTATCTTCACATAAAAACTAGAGAGAAGCGTTCTCAGAAACTTCTTTGTGATGTGTGCATTCAACTCACAGAGTTGAACCTCTCTTTTCATAGAGCAGGTATGAAACACTCTTTTTGTAGAATCTGCAAGTGGACATTTGGAGAGCTTTGAGGCTTATGGTGGAAAAGGAAATATCTTCACACAAAAACTAGACAGAATCATTCTCAGAAACGTCTTTGTGATGTTTGCATTCAACTCACAGAGTTAAAGATACCTTTCCATGGAGCAGTTTTGAGGCACTCTTTTTATAGAATCTGCAAGTGGATATTTGGACCACAATGAGGCCTTCGTTGGAAACGGGAATATCTTCACATAAACACTAGACAGAAGCATTCTCAAAAACTTCTTTGTCATGCATGCATTAAACTCAAAGAGTTGAACCTTTCTTTTGATAGAGCAGCTTTGAAACACCCTTTTTGTACAATCTGCAAGTTGACATTTGGAGAGCTTTGAGGCCTATGGTGGAAAAGGTTATACCTTCATATAAATATTAGACAAAAGAATTCTCAGAAAATTCTTTGTGATGTTTGCATTCAACTCACAGAGTTGAAGATACCTTTTCATAGAGGAGTTTTGAAACACTCTTTTCGTAGAATATGCAAGTGGATATTTGGAATGCTTGAGGCCTTTGTTGGAAACGGGAATATGTTTACATAAAAACAGGCAGAAGCATTCTCAGAAACTTCTTTGTGATGTGTGCATTCAACTCAAAGAGTTGAAACTTTCTTTTGATAGAGCATGTTTGAAACACTCTTTTTGTAGAATCTGCAATGGACATTTGGAGAGCATTGAGGCCTATGGTGGAAAAGTAAATATCTTCACATAAAAACTAGAGAGAAGCATTCTCAGAAACTTCTTTGTAATGCGTGCATTCTACTCACAGAGTTGAACCTTTCTTTTGATAGAGCAGTTTTGAAACACTCTTTTTGTAGAATCTGGAAATGTATATTTGGACCACTTCGAGGCCTTCGTTGGAAACGGGAATATCTTCACATAAACACTAGACAAAAGCACTCTGTGAAACTTCTTTGTGATGTGTGCGTTCAAGTCACAGAGTTGAATCATTCTTTTGATAGAGCAGGTTTGAAACACTCTTTTTGTATAATCGGCACTGGACATTTTTAGAGCTATGAGGCCTATGGTGGAAAAGGAAATATCTTTAAATGAAAACCAGACAGAAGAATTCTAAGGAACTACATTGTGATGTTTGCATTCAACTCATAGAGTTGAACACACTTTTTCATAGAGCACTTTTGAAACACTCTTTTAGTAGAATCTGCAAGTGGATATTTGCACTGCTTTGAGGCCTTCATTGGAAACGGGAATATCTTCACATAATCACTAGACAGAAGCTTTCTCAAAAACTTTTTTGTACTGTGTGCATTCAACTCACAGATTTGAACCTTTCTTTTCATAGAGCAGGTTTGAAACACTCTTTTAGTAGAATCTGCAAGTGGACATTTGGAGCGCTTTGAGGCCTATGGTGGAAAAGGAAATATCTTCCTATAAAAACTAGACAGAAGCATTCTCAGAAATTTCTTATGATGTGTGCATTCATTTCACAGATTTGAACATACCTTATCATAGAGCACTTTTGAAACACTCTTTTAGTAGAATCTGCAAGTGGATATTTGCACTGCTTTGAGGCCTTCATTGGAAACGGGATTATCTTCACATAAACACTAGACAGAAGCATTCTCAGGACCTTCTTTATGATGTGTGCATTCAACTCACAGAGTTGAACCTTTCTTTTCATACAGCAGGTTTGAAACCCTCTTTTTGTAGAAGCTTCAAGTGGACATAAAGCGAGCTTTGAGGCCTATGGTGGGAAAGGAAGTATCATTATATAAAAACCAGACAGAAGAATTCTAAGGAACTACTTTGTGATGTTTGCTTTCAAATCACAGGGTTGTACATACCTCTTCATAGAGCAGTTTTGAAGCACTCTTTTTGCAGAATCTGCAAGTGGATATTTGGAACGCTTTGAATCCTTCATTGGAAACGGGAATATCTGCAAATAAACACTAGATAGAAGCATTCTCAGAAACTTCTTTGTGATGTGTCCATTCAACTCACAGAGTTGAAGCTTTCCTTTAATAAAGCAGGTTTGAAACACTCTTTTTGTAGAATCTGCAAGTGGATATTTGAACCACTTTGAGGCCTTCGTTGGAAACGGGAATATCTTCACATAAACACTAGATAGAAGCATTCTCAGAAACTTCTTTGTGATGTGTGCATTCAACTCAAAGAGTTGAAACTTTCTTTTGATAGAGCATGTTTGAAACACTCTTTTTGCAGAATCTGCAATGGACACTTGGGGTGCTTTGAGGCCTATAGTGGAAAATTAAATATCTTCTCATAAAAACTAAACAGAAGCATTCTATGAAACTTCTTTGTGATGCTTGCATTCAACTCACAGTGTTGAACATTCCTTATCATAGAGCAGTTTTGAAACACTCTTTTTGTAGAATCTGCAAGTGGATATTTGGACCGATTTGAGGCCTTCGTTAGAAACAGGAATACCTTCACATTAAAACTAGACAGCAGCATTCTCCGAAACTGCTTTGTGATGTGTGCATTCAATCACAGACTTGAACTTTCATTTTGAGAAAGCACGTTTGAAACACTCTTTTTGCAGAATCTGCATGTGTGCGTTTGGAGAGCTTTGAGGCGTATGGTGGAAAAGGGAATATCTTCACACAAAAACTAGACAGAAGCATTCTCAGAAACTTCTTTGTGATGTGTGCACTTAACTCACCGAGTTGAACCTTCCTTTTCATAGAGCAGGTTTGAAACACACTTTTTGCAGGATCTGCAGTGGACATTTGGAGCGCTTCTATTCCAATGGTGGAAAATGAAATATCTTCTCATAAAAACTACATAGAAGCATTCTCAGAAACTTCTTTGTGACGTTTGCATTCAACTCTCAGAGTTGAACAAACTTTATCACAGAGCAGTTTTGAAACACTCTTTTAGTAGTGTCTGCATGTGGGTAATTGAACCGCTTTCAGGCCTTTGTTGGAAAGGCGAGTATCTTCACATAAAAACTAGACCAAAGCATTCTCGGAAACTTCTTTGTGATGTGTGCATTAAACTCACAGAGTTTAACCTTTATTTTGATAGAGAAGGTTTGAAACACTCTTTTGCAGAAACTACAAGTGGACATTTTGATCGCTTTGAGGCCTAAAGTTGAAAAGAAAATACTTTAACATAAAAATTAGACAGAAACATTCTGAGAAACTGCTTTGTGATGTGTACATTCAACTCACGGAGTTGAACAGACTTTATCATAGAGCAGTTTTGAAATACTGTTTTAGTAGAATCTGCAAGTGGAAATTTGGACCTCTTTGAGGCCTTCATTGGAAAAGGGAATAGCTTCAGGTAAATACTAGACAGAAGCATTCTCAGGAACTACTTTGTGATGTGTGCATTCAACTCACAGATTTGAACATACCTTATCATAGAGTAGTTTTGAAGCACTCTTATAGAGGAATCTGCAAGGGGATATTTGGACAACTTTGAGGCCATCGTTGGAAACGGGAGTATCATCACATAAACACTAGACAGAAGCATTCTCAGAAACTGCTTTTTGATGTGTGCATTCAACTCACAGAGTTGACCATACCTTAACATAGAGCAGTTTTGAAACACTCTTTTAGTAGTATCTGCAATTGGATAATTGGAAGGCTTTGAGGCCTTCTTTGTAAATGGGAATTTCTTCACATAAAAACAGGCAGAAGCATTCTCAGAAACTTCTTTTTGATGTGTGCATTAAACGCACAGAGTTGAAGCTTTCTTTTGATAGAGCAGGTTTGAAACACTTATTTTGTAGAATCTGCAAGTGTACATTTGGAGCGCTCTGAGGCCTATGTTGGGAAATGAAATTTCTTAACATAAAAACTAGACAGAAGCATTCTCAGAAACTTCTTTGTGATGTTTGCATTCAACTCAAAGAGTTCACCTTCCTTTTCACAGAGCAGATTTGAAACACACATTTCGTAGAATCTGCAAGTGGATATTTGGAGAGCTTTGAGGCCTTCGTAGGAAACAGAAATATCTTCACATAAACACGAGAGAGAAACATTCTGAGAAACTTCTTTGTGATGTGTGCATTAAACCCACAGAGTTGGACCTTTCTTTTGATAGAGCAGGTTTGAAGCACTGTTTTTGTAGAATCTGCAAGTGGACATTTGCAGTGCTTTGAAGCCTATGGTGGAAAAGGAAATATCTTCATATAAAAACTAGACAGAAGCATTCTCAGAAACTTCTTTGTGATGTTTGTATTCACCTCACAGAGTTGAACGTACTTTTTCATAGAGCAGTTTTGAAACACTCTTTTAGAAGAATCTGCAAGTGGATATTTTGACCGCTTTGAGGCAATCATTGGAAACGGGAATATCTTCACATAATCACTAGACAGAAGCTTTCTCAGAAACTTCTTTGTGCTGTGTGCATTCAACCCACAGAGTTGCACCTTTCTTTTGATAGTGGAGGTTTGAAACACTCCTTTTGTAGAGTCCGCAAGTGGATATTTGGAGCGCTTTGAGGCCTAAGGTGGAAAAGGAAATATCGTCCCATAAAAACTAGACAGAAGCATTCTCAGAAACTTCTAGGTGATGTTTGCATTCAATTCAAAGAGTTGAACCTTCGTTTTCATAGAGAAGTTTTGTAACGCTCTTTTCGTAGAATCTCAAGTGGATATTTAAACTGCTTTGAGGCCTTCTTTGGAAACGGGAGTATCTTCACATAAACACTGCACAGAAGGATTGTCAGAAAATCCTTTGTGATGTGTGCATTCATCTCACAGAGTTGAACATACCTTATCATAGAGCAGTTTTGAAACACTCTTTTAGTAGAATCTGAAAGTGGATATTTCGAACGCTTTAAGGCCTTCATTGGAAATGGGAATATCTTCATATAAAAACTAAACAGCAGCATTCTGAGAAACTTCTTTGTGATGTGTTCATTCAACCACAGAGGTGAAACTTTCTTTTGATAGAGCAGTTTGAAACACTCTTTTTGTAGAATCTGCAAGTGGACATTTGGAAAGCTTTGAGGCCTATGGTGCAAAAGGAAATATCTTTATATAAAAACGAGACAGAAGAGTTCTCAAAAACTTCTTTGTGATGTTTGCCTTCAACTCACAGAGCTGAACATATCATATGATAGAGCAGATTTGAAACACTATTTTTGTAGTATCTGCAAGTGGATATTTGGACAGCTTTGTGGCCTTTGTTGGAAACGGGATTATTTTCACACTAACACTAGAAAGAAGCATTCTCAGAAACTTCTCTGGGAAGTATGCTTTCAACTCACAGAGCTGAACATACCTTATCATAGAGCAGTTTTCATACAGTCTTTTAGTAGAATCTGCAAGAGGATAATTGGAAAGCTTTGAGGCCTTCTTGGAAACGTTAATATATCCACATAAAAATTAGACAACAGAATTCTCAGAAACTTGTTTGTCATGAGTACATTCAACCACAGAGTTGAACCTTTCTTTTGATAGAGCAGTTTTGAAATACTCTTTTTGTAGAATCTGCAAGTGGATATTTAGACAGCTTTGAGGACTTCATTGGAAACGGGAATATCTTCACATGAACACTAGACATAATCATTCTCAGAAACATCTTTGTGATGTGCGCATTCAACTCACAGAGTTGAACTTTTCTTTTGATAGAGCAGATTTGAAACACTCTTGTTGTAGAATCCACAAGTGGATATTTGGAGAGCTTTGAAGCCTATGGTGGAAAAGGAAATATCTTCACAAAATACTGGAGAGAAGCATTCTCAGAAACTTCTTTGCGATGTGTGCATTCAACTCACAGAGCTGAACCTTTCTTTTGATAGAGCAGGTTAGCAACACTATTTTCGCAGAATCTGCATGTGGACATTTGGAGAGCTTTGAGGCCTATGGTGGAAAAGGAAATATCTTCCCATAAAAACTAGACAGAAGCAATCTCAGAAACTTCTTTGTGATGTTTGCATTCAACTCACAGAGTTGGACATACTTTGTTATAGGGCATTTTTGAAACACTCTCAGGATAATCTGCAAGTGGATATTTGGAACGTGTAGAGGCCTTCGTTGGAAACGGGAATATTTTCACATAAATACTAGACAGCAGCATTCTCAGAAACTTCTTTGTGATGTGAACATTCAACTCACAGAATTGAACATTTCCTTTGATAGAGCAGTTTTGAAACACTCTTTTTGCAGGATCTGCAAGTGGATATGTGGACTGCCTTGAGGCCTTCGTTGGATACGGGAATAGCTTCACATAAAAACTAGACAGAAGCATTCCCAGAAACTTCTTTGTGATGTGTGCATTCAACCCACAGAGTTGAACCTTTCTTTTGATAGAGCAGTTTTGAAACACTCTTTTTGTAGAATCTGTATGTGGACATTTGGAGAGGTTTGAAGCCTATGGTGGAAAAGAAATATATTCACATAAAATCTAGACAAAGCATTCTCCGAAACTTCTTTGTGATGTGTGCATTCAACTCACGGAGCTCAACCTTTCATTTGATAGAGCAGGTTTGAAGCACTCTTTTAGTAGAATCTGCAAGCAGATATTTGGAACGCTTTGAGGCCTTCTTTGGAAACGGTAATAACTTCACATAATCAAAAGGCAGAAGCTTTCTCAGAAACTTCTTCATGCTGTGTGCATTAAACTCAGAGAGTTGAACCTTTTTTTGATAGAGCAGGTTTGACACACTCTTTTTGTAGAATCTGCAATTGGACATTTGGAGTGATTTAAGGCCTATGGTGGAAAAGAAAATATCTTCACATGAAAACTAGACAGAAGCATTCTCAGAAACTTCTTTGTGATGTTTGCATTCAACTCACGGAGTTGAACCTACCTTATCATAGAGCAATTTGGAAACACTCTTTTAGTAGAATCTGCAAGTGGAGACTTGGAATGCTTTGGGGCCTTCATTGGAAATGGGAATATCTTCATATAAATACTAGACAGAAGCATTCTCAGAAACTTCTTTGTGATGTTTGCTTTCAACTCACAGAGTTGAACATTCCTTATGAGAGCAGTTTTGAAACAATCTTTTAGTAGAATCTGCAAGTGGATATTTCAAACTGTTTGAGGCCTTCTTTGGAAACGGGAATATCTTCACATAAAAAGTAGATAGCAGCATTCTCAGAAACTTCTTTGTGATGTGTAAATTCAACTCACAAAGTTGAACCTTTCTTTTGATAGAGCAGTTTTGAATCACTCTTTTTTTAGGGTCTGCAAGTGCATATTTGGACCACTTTGAGGCCTTCATTGGAGACGGGAATATCTTCACATAAACACTAGACAGAATCATTCTCAGAAACTTCTTTGTGATATATTCATTTATCTCACAGAGTTGATCCCTTCTTTTGATAGAGCAGGTTTTATACACTCTTTTTGTAGAATCTGTATTTGGACATTTGGAGAGGTTTGAGGCCAATGGTGGAAAAGGAAATATTTTTATATAAAAATGAGACAGAAGAATTCTCAGAAACTTTTTTGTGATGTTTGCATTCATCTCAAAGAGTAGAACATAAATTTTCATAGAGCAGTTTTGAAAAGCTCTTTTTGTAGAATCTGCAATTGTATATTTGGACTTCTTTGAGGCCTTCACTGGAAACGGGAATATCTTCACATAAACACTAGACAGAAACATCCTAAGAAACTTGTTTGTGATGTGGGCATTCAACTCACAAAGTTGAACTTTTCTTTTGATAGAGCAGTTTTGAAACACACTTTTTGAAGAATCTGCAAGTGCACATTTGGAGAGCTTTGAGGCCATCATTGGAAACGGGAATATCTTCTCATAAAAACTAGACAGAGCATTCTCAGAAACTTCTTTGTGATGTGTGCATTCAATTCACAGAGTTGAACCTTTCTTTTGATAGAGCAGTTTGGAAACACTCTTTTTCTAGCATCGGCAAATGGACATTTGGAACGCTTTGAGGTTTATGGTGGAAAAGGAAATATCTTCCCATAAAAACTAGAGAGAAGCATTCTCAGAATGTTCTTTGTGATGTTTTCCTTCAACTCATAGAGTTGAACATACTTTATCATACTGCAGTTTTGAAATACTCTTTTGGTAGAACTTGCAAATGGATATTTGGAAAGCTTTGAGGCCTTCATTGGAAACGGGAATATCTTCACATAATCGCTAGACAGAAGCTTTCTCAGAAACTTCTTTGTGCTGTGTGCATTCAACTCACAGAGCTGAACACTTCTTTTTTTAGAACAGGTTTGAAAAATTCTTTTTGTCGAATCTGCAAGTGGACATTTGGAGCGCTTTAAGGTCTATGGTGGAAAAGGAAATATCTACCCATAAAAACTAGACAGAGGCATTCTCAGAAACTTCTTTGTGATGTCTGCCTTCAACTCACAGACTTGAACATACCTTATGATAGAGCAGTTTTTAAACAATCTTTTAGTAGAATCTGCAAGTGGATATTTGGAAATCTTTGAGGCCTTCTTTGGAAACGGGAATATCTTCACATAAAAACTAGAAAGCAGCACTCTCAGAAACTTCTTTGTGATGCGTACATTCAACTCTTAGAGTTGAACTTTTCTTGTGATAGAGAAGATTTGAAACACTCTTCGTGTAGAATCTTCAAGTGGATATTTGGACAACGCTTTGAGGCGTTATTTGGAAATGGGAATATCATGTCATAAAAATTGGAGAGAAGCATTCTCTGAAACTTCTTTGTGATCTGTGCATTCAACTCACAGAGCTGAACCTTTCTTTTGATAGAGCAAGTTTGAAACACTCTTTTTGCAGAATCTGAATGTGGACATTTGGAGACCTTTGGGGCCTATGGTGGAAAAGGGAATATCTTCACTTAAAAATTAGAAAGAAGCATTCTCAGAAACTTCTTTGTAATGTTTGCATTCAACTCACAGAGTTGGACATACTTTATCATAGGGAATTTTTGAAACACTCTTTCAGGAGAATCTGCAAGTGGATATTTGGAACATGTAGAGGCCTTCGTTGGAAAAGGAATATCTTCACATAAATACTAGACAACAGCATTCTCAGAAACTTCCTTGTGATGTGTGCATTCAACTCTCAGAATTGAACATTTCTTTTAATACAGCAGTTTTGAAACACTCTTTTTGCAGACTCTGCAAGTGGATATGTGGACTGCTTTGAGGCCTTCGTTGGATACGGGAATAGCTTCACATTAAAACTAGACAGAAGCATTCCAGGAATTTCTTTGTGATGTGTGCATTCAACCCACACAGTTGAACCTTTCTTTTGATAGAGCAGTTTTGAAAAACTCTTTTTGTAGAATCTGCAAGTAGACATTTGAAAGCGCTCAAAATGTCCATTTCCAGATACTACAAAAAGAGTGTTTCAAACCTGCTCTATGAAAGGGAATGTTCAACTCTGTGACTTGAATGCAAACATCACAAAGATATTTCTCAGAATGCTTCTGTCTAGATTTTATATGAACATATTCCCGTTTGCAACGAAATCTTTAAAGCTATCCAAATATCCACTTGCAGATTCTACAAAAAGACTGTTTCTAACCAGCTCTATGAAATGGAATGCTCAACCCTGTGACTTGAATGCAAACATCACTTAGAAGTTTCTGAGAATGCTTCTATCTAGATTTTATATGAAGATAATCCCGTTTCCAACGAAATCCTCAAAGCTATCCAAATATCCACTTGCAGTTTCTACAAAAAGAGTGTTTGAAAACTGCTCTATCAAAAGAAAGGTTCAACTCTGTTAGTTGAGTACACACATCACAAACTAGTTTCTGAGGATTCTTCTGTCTAGTTTTTATGGGAAGATATTTCCATTTTCACCATAGGCTTCAAAGTGCTCAAAATGTCCACTTCCAGATACTAAAAAAAAAGAGTGTTTCAAACCTGCTCTATGAAAGGGAATGTTAAACTCTGTGACTTGAATGCAAACATCACAAAGATGTTTCTCACAATGCTTCTGTCTAGATTTTATATGAAGATATTCCCATTTCCATCAAAATCGTCAACGGTATCCAAATATCCACTTGGAGATCCTACAAAAAGACTGTTTCAAACCAGCTCTATGAAATGGAATGTTCATCTCTGTGACTTGAATGCAAACATCACTAAGAAATTTCTCAGAATGCTTCTGTCTAGATTTTATATGAAGATATTCCCGTTTACAAAGAAATCCTCAAAGCTATCCAAATATCCACTTGCAGTTTCTACAAAAAGAGTGTTTGAAAACTCCTCTATCAAAAGAAAGGTTCAACTCTGTTAGTTGAGGACACACATCACAAACTAGTTTCTGAGGATTCTTCTGTCTATTTTTTATGGGAAGATATTTCCATTTTCACCATAGGCCTCAAAGCACTCAAAATGTCCACTTCCAGATACTACAAAAAGTGTTTCAAACCTGCTCTATGAAAGGGAATGTTCAACTCTGTGACTTGAATGCAAACATCACAAAGATGTTTCTCACAATGCTTCTGCCTAGATTTTATATGAAGATATTCCCATTTCCATCGAAATCGTCAAAGCTATCCAAATATCCACTTGGACATCCTACAAAAAGACTGTTTCAAACCAGCGCTATGAAATGGAATGTTCAACTCTGTGACTTGAATGCAAACATCACTAAGAAGTTTCGGAGAATGCTTCTGTCTAGATTTTATATGAGGATATTCCCGTTTCCAACGAAATCCTCAAACCTATCCAAATACCCACAGGCAGACTCTACAAAAGGAGTGTTTCAAAACTGCTCTATCGAAAGAAAGGTTCAACTCTGTTAGTTGAGTCCACAGATCACAAACTAGTTTCTGACAACTCTTCTGTCTAGTTTTTAAGGGAAGATATTTCCTTTTTCACCATAGGCCTCAAAGCGCTCCAAATGTCCACTTGCAGATACTACAAAAAGAGTGTTTCAAACTTGCTCTATGAAAGGGAATGTTGAACTCTGTGACATGAATGCACACATCACAAAGATGTTTCTCAGAATGCTTCTGTCTAGATTTCATATGAAGGTATTCCCGTTTCCAATGAAATCCTCAAAGCTATCCAAATATCCACTTGCAGATTCTCCAAAAACAGTGTTTCAAAACAGCTCTATCAAAAGAAAGGCTCAACTCTGTTAGTTGAGTACACACATGGGAAACAAGTTTCTGAGCATGCTTCTGTCTAGTTTTTATGGGAAGAGATTCCCTTTTTCACCATATGCCTCAAAACGCTCCAAATGTTCACTTCCAGATACTACAAAAAGAGTGTTTCAAACCTGCTCTATGAGAGGCAATGTTCAACTCTGTGAGTTGAATGCAAACATCACAAAGATGTTTCTCACAATGCTTCTGTCTAGATTTTATATGAAGATATTCCGTTTCCAATGAAATCGTCAAAGCTATCCAAATATCCACTTGTGGATTCTACAAAAAGAGTGTCTCAAAACTGCTCTATCAAAAGAAAGGTTCAAATCTGTTTGTGGAGTACATACATCACAAACTGGTTTCTGAGAATTCTTCTGTCTAGTTTTTATGGGAAGATATTTCCATTTTCACCATAGGCCCCAAAGCGCTCCAAATGTCCACTGCCAGATACTACAGAAAGAGTGTTTCAAACCTGCTCTATGAAATGGAATGTTCAACTCTCTGACTTGAATGGAAACATCACTAAGAAGTTTCTGAGAATGTTTCTGTCTAGATTTTATATGAAGATATTCCCATTTCCAACGAAATCCTCAAAGCTATCCAAATAGCCACCTGCAGATTCTACAAAAAGAGTGTTTCAAAACTGCTCTATCAAAAGAAAGGTTCAACTCTGTTAGTTGAGTACACACATCACAAACTAGTTTCTGAGAATTCTTCTGGCTAGTTATTATGGGAAGATATTTCCTTTTTCACCATAGGCTTCAAAGCGCTCCAAATGTCAACTTCCAGATACTACAAAAAGTCTGTTTCAAACCTGCTCTATGAAATGGAATGTTCAACTCTGTGACTTCAATGCAAACATCACTAAGGTTTCTGAGAATGCTTCTGTCTAGATTTTATATGAAGATATTCCCGTTTCCAACGAAATCCTCAAAGCTATCCAAATATCCACTTGCAGATTCTACAAAAAGAGTGTTTCAAAACCGCTCTATCGAAAGAAAGTTTCAACTCTGTTACTTGAGTACACACATCACAAACTAGTTTCTGAGAACTCTTCTGCATAGTTTTTAAGGAAAATATTTCCTTTTTCAACATAGGCCTCAAAGCGCTCCAAATGTCCACTTCCAGATACTACAAAAGGAGTGTTTCAAACCTGCTCTATGAAAGCGAATGTTCAACACTGTGAGTTGAATGCAAACATCACAAAGATGTTTCTCAGAATGCTTCTGTCTAGATTTTATATGAGGATATTCCATTTCCAAAGAAATCGTCAAAGCTATCCAAATATCCACTTGCAGATTCTACAAAAAGACTGTGTCAAACCTGCTCTATGAAATGGAATGTTCAACTCTGTGACTTGAATGCAAACTTCACTAAGAGGTTTCTGAGAATGCTTCTGTCTAGATTTTATATGAAGATATTCCCGTTTCCAACGAAATCGTCAATGCTATCCAAATATCCACTTGCAGATTCTACGAAAAGACTGTTTCTAACCAGCTCTATGAAATGGAATGTTCAACTCTGTTAGTTGAGTACACACATCACAAGCTAGTTTCTGAGAATTCTTCTGTCTAGTTTTTATGGGACGATATTTCCATTTTCACCTAAAGCCCCAAAGCGCTCCAAATGTCCACTTCCAGATACTACAGAAAGAGTGTTTCAAACGTCCTCTATGAAATGGAATGTTCAACTCTGTGACTTGAATGGAAACATCACTAAGATGTTTCTGAGAATGTTTCTGTCTAGATTTTCTATGAAGATATTCCCGTTTCCAACGCAATCTTCAAAGCTATCAAAATATCAACTTGCAGATTCTACTAAAAGAGTGTTTCAAAACTGCTCTATGAAAAGAAAGGTTCCACTGTGTTAGTTGAGTACACACATCACAAACTAGTTTCTGAGAATTCTTCTGGCCAGTTATTATGGGAAGATATTTCCTTTTTCACCATAGGCCTCAAAGCGCTCCAAATGTCAAATTCCAGATACTACAAAAAGTGTGTTTCAAAACTGCTCTATGAAACGGAATGTTCAACTCTGTGACTTCAATGCAAACATCACTAAGAGGTTTCTGAGAATGCTTCTTTCTAGATTTTATATGAAGATATTCCCATTTCCAATGAAATCCTCAAAGCTATCCAAATATCCACTTGCAGATTCTACAAAAAGAGTGTTTCAAAACTGCTCTATCAAAAGAAGGGTTCAACTGTGTTAGTTGAGTACACACATCACAAACTATTTTCGGAGAATTCTTCTCTCTAGTTTTCATGGGAAGATATTTCCTTTTTCATCAAATGCCTCAAAGCGCTCCAAATGTCCACTTCCAGATACTACAAAAAGAGTGTTTCTAACCTGCTCTATGAAAGGGAATGTTGAACTCTGTGACATGAATGCAAACATCAGAAACATGTTTCTCAGAATGCTTCTGTCTAGATTTAATATGAAGACATTCCCGTCTCCAACGAAATCGTCAAAGCTATCCAAATATCCACTTGCAGTTTCTCCAAAAAGAGTGTTTGAAAACACCTCTATCAAAAGAAAGGTTCAACTCTGTGAGTTGAGTACACACATCACAAACAAGTTTCTGAGAATGCTGCTGTCAATTTTTTATGGGAAGAGATTCCCTTTTTCACCATATGCCTCAAAGCGTTCCAAATGTCCACTTCCAGATACTACAAAAAGAGTGTTTGAAACCTGCTCTATGAAAGGGAATGTTCAACTCTGTGACTTCAATGCAAACATCACAAAGATGTTTCTCAGAATGCTTCTGTCTAGATTTATTATGAAGATATTCCCGTTTCCAATGAAATCCTCAAAGCTATCCAAATATCCACTTGCAGATTGTACAAAAAGAGTGTTTCAAAACTGCTCTGTCAAAAGAAAGGTTCAACTCTGTTAGTTCAGTACACATATCACAAATTTCTGAGAATGCTTCTGTCTAGTTTTTATATGAAGATATTTCCTTTTTCACCATAGGCCTGAAAACGCTCCAAATGTCCACTCCTAGATACTACAAAAACAGTGTTTCAAACCTGCTCTATGAAAAGGAATGGAAGAAACCCATCGGGAGGAGCCAAGATAGCTGAATAGGAACAGCTCCAGTTATAGCTCCCAGCGTGAGCGACGCAGAAGACGGGTGTTTTCTGCATTTCCATCTGAGGTACCAGGATCATCTCACTAGGGAGTGCCAGACATTCGGCCCAGGTCAGTGGGTGCATGCACCCTGCGCAAGCTGAAACAGGGCGAGGCATTGCCTCACTTGGGAAGCCCAAGGGGTCAGGGAGTTCCGTTTCCCAGTCAAAGAAAGGGGTGACGGAAGCACCTGGAAAATCGGGTCACTCCCACCCTAATACTGCGCTTTTCCCACCAGCTTAAAATACGGCACACCACGAGATTATATCCCGCACCTGACTCGGAGGGTCCTACGCCCACAGAGTCTCCCTGATTGCTAGCACAGCAGTCTGAGATTAAACTGCAAGGCGGCAGTGAGGCTGGGGGAGGGGCGCCCGCCATTGCCCAGGCTTGCTTAGGTAAACAAAGCAGCCAGGAAGCTCCAACTGGGTGGAGCCCACCACAGCTCAAGGAGCCCTGCCTGCCTCTGTAGGCTCCACCTCTGGGGGCAGGGCACAGACAAACAAAAATACAGCAGTAACCTCTGCGGACTTAAATGTCCCTGTCTGACAGCTTTGAAGAGAGCAGTGGTTCTCCCAGAATGCAGCTGGAGATCTGAGAATGGGGAGACTGCCTCCTCAAGTGGGTCCCTGACCCGTGACCCCTGAGCAGCCTAACTGGGAGGCACCCCCCCAGCAGGGGCACACTGACACCTCTCAAGGCAGGGTATTCCAACAGACCTGCAGCTGAGGGTCCTGTCTGTTAGAAGGAAAACTAACAAACAGAAAGGACATCCACACCAAAAACCCATCTGTATATCACCATCATCAAAGACCAAAAGTAGATAAAACCACAAAGATGGGGAAAAAACAGAACAGAAAAACTAGAAACTCTAAAAAGCAGAGTGCCTCTCCTCCTTCAAAGGAATACAGTTCCTCACCAGCAATGGAACAAAGCTGGATGGAGAATGACTTTGACGAGCTGAGAGAAGAAGGCTTCAGATGATCAAATTACTCTGAGCTACAGGAGGACATTCAAACCAAAGGCAAACAAGTTGAAAACGTTGAAAAAAATTTAGAAGAATGTATAACTAGAATAACCAATACAGAGAAGTGCTTAAAGGAGCTGATGGAGCTGAAAACCAAGGCTCGAGAACTACGTGAAGAATGCAGAAGCCTCAGGAGCC
>NT_187394.1:38402-41851 GCF_000001405.40 Homo sapiens
CCATCGAGACTAGGAAGAAACTGCATCAACTAACGAGCAAAATAACCAGCTAACATCCTAATGACAGGATCCAATTCACCCATAACAATATTAACTTTAAATGTAAATGGACTAAACGCTCCAATTAAAAGACACAGACTGGCAAATTGGATAAAGAGTCAAGACCCATCAGTGTGCTGTGTTTAGGAAACCCATCTCACATGCAGAGACACACATAGGCTCAAAATAAAAGGATGGAGGAAGATCTACCAAGCAAATGGAAAACAAAAAAAGCAGGAGTTGCAATCCTAGTCTCTGATAAAGCAGACTTTAAACCAACAAAGATCAAAAGAGACAAAGAAGGCCATTACATAATGGTAAAGGGATCAATTCAACAAGAAGAGCTAACTATCCTAAACGTATATGCACCCAATACAGGAGCACCCAGATTCATAAAGCAAGTCCTGAGTGACCTACAAAGAGACTTAGACTCCCACACATTAATAATGGGAGACTTTAACACCCCACTGTCAACATTAGACAGATCAATGAGACAGAAAGTCAACAAGGATACCCAGGAATTGAACTCAGCTCTGCACCAAGCGGACCTAATTGACATCTACAGAACTCTCCACCCCAAATCAACAGAATATACATTTTTTTCAGCACCACACCACACCTATTCCAAAATTGACCACATATTTGGAAGTAAAGCTCTCCTCAGCAAATGTATAATAACAGAGATTATAACAAACTATCTCTCAGATCACAGTGCAATCAAACTAGAACTCAGGATTAACAATCTCACTCAAAACCACTCAACTACATGGAAACTGAACAACCTGCTCCTGAATGACTACTGGGTACATAACGAAATGAAGGCAGAAATAAAGATCTTCTTTGAAACCAACAAGAACAAAGACACAACATACCAGAATCTCTGGGACGCATTCAAAGCAGTGTGTAGAGGGAAATTTATAGCTCTAAATTCCCACAAGAGAAAGCAGGAAAAATCCAAAACTGACACCCTAACATCACAATTAAAAGAACTAGAAAAGCAAGAGCAAACACATTCAAAAGCTAACAGAAGGCAAGAAATAACTAAAATCAGAGCAGAACTGAAGGAAATAGAGACACAAAAAACCCTTCAAAAAAATTAATGAATCCAGGAGCTGGTTTTTTGAAAAGATCAACAAAATTGATAGACCGCTAGCAAGACTAATAAAGAAAAAAAGGGAGAAGAATCAAATAGACACAATAAAAAATGATAAAGGGGATATCACCAATGATTCCACAGAAATACAAACTACCATCAGAGAATACTACAAACACCTCTACGCAAATAAACTAGAAAATCTAGAAGAAATGGATAAATTCCTGGACACATACACTCTCCCAAGACTAAACCAGGAAGAAGTTGAATCTCTGAATAGACCAATAACAGGATCTGAAATTGTGGCAATAATCAATAGCTTACCAACCAAAAAGAGTCCAGGACCAGATGGATTCACAGCCGAATTCTACCAGAGGTACAAGGAGGAACTGGTACCATTCCTTCTGAAACTATTCCAATCAATAGAAAAAGAGGGAATCCTCCCTAACTCATTTTATGAGGCCAGCATCATTCTGATACCAAAGCCAGGCAGAGACACAACCAAAAAAGAGAATTTTAGACCAATATCCTTGATGAACATTGATGCAAAAATCCTCAATAAAATACTGGCAAAACGAATCCAGCAGTACATCAAAAAGCTTATCCACCAAGATCAAGTGGGCTTCATCCCTGGGATGCAAGGCTGGTTCAATATACACAAATCAATAAATGTAATCCAGCATATAAACAGAGCCAAAGACAAAAACCACATGATTATCTCAATAGATGCAGAAAAAGCCTTTGACAAAATTCAACAATGCTTCATGCTAAAAACTCTCAATAAATTAGGTATTGATGGGACACATTTCAAAATAATAAGAGCTATCTATGACAAACCCACAGCCAATATCATACTGAATGGGCAAAAACTGGAAGCATTCCCTTTGAAAACTGGCACAAGACAGGGATGCCCTCTCTCACCACTCCTATTCAACATAGTGTTGGAAGTTCTGCCCAGGGCAATTAGGCAGGAGAAGGAGATACAGTGTATTCAATTAGGAAAAGAGGAAGTCAAATTGTCCCTGTTTGCAGACGACATGATTGTATATCTAGAAAATCCCATTGTCTCAGCCCAAAAGCTCCTTAAGCTGATAAGCAACTTCAGCAAAGTCTCAGGATACAAAATCAATGTACAAAAATCACAAACATTCTTATACACCAGCAGACAAACAGAGAGCCAAATCGTGAGTGAACTCCCATTCACAATTGCTTCAAAGAGAATAAAATACCTAGGAATCCAACTTACAAGGGATGTGAAGGACCTCTTCAAGGAGAACTACAAACCACTGCTCAAGGAAATAAAAGAGGATACAAACTAATGGAAGAACATTCCATCATCATGGATAGGAAGAATCAATATTGTGAAAATGGCCATACTGCCCAAGGTAATTTACAGATTCAATGCCATCCCCATCAAGCTACCAATGACTTTCTTCACAGAATTGGAAAAGACTACTTTAAAGTTCATATGGAACCAAAAAAGAGCCCGCATCACCAAGTCGATCATAGGCCAAAAGAACAAAGCTGGAGGCATCACAGTACCTGACTTCAAACTATAATACAAGGCTACAGTAACCAAAACAGCATGGTACTGGTACCAAAACACAGATATAGATCAATGGAACAGAACAGAGCCCTCAGAAATAACGCCACATATCTACAACTATCTGATCTTTGACAAACCTGAGAAAAACAAGCAATGGGGAAAGGATTCCCTATTTAATAAATGGTGCTGGGAAAACTGGCTAGCCATATGTAGAAAGCTGAAACTGGATCCCTTCCTTACACCTTATACAAAAATCAATTCAAGATGGATTAAAGACTTAAACGTTCGGCCTAAAACCACAAAAACCCTAGAAGAAAACCTAGGTATTACCATTCAGGACATAGGCATGGGCAAGGACTTCATGTCTAAAACACCAAAAGCAATGGCAACAAAAGACAAAATTGACAAATGGGATCTAATTAAACTAAAGAGCTTCTGCACAGCAAAAGAAACTACCATCAGAGTGAAGAGGCAACCTACAAAATGGGAGAAAATTTTCACAACCTACTCATCTGACAAAGGGCTAATATCCAGAATCTACAATGAACTCAAACAAATTTACAAGAAAAAAACAACCCCATCAAAAAGTGGGTGAAGGACGTGAACAGACACTTTTCAAAAGAAGACATTTATGCAGCCAAAAAACACATGAAAAAATGCTCATCATCACTGGCCATCAGAGAAATGCAAATCAAAACCACTATGAGATATCATCTCACACCAGTTAGAATGGCAATCATTAAAAAGTCAGGAAACAACAGGTGCTGGAGA
>NT_187394.1:41876-73985 GCF_000001405.40 Homo sapiens
AGGGATCTAGAACTAGAAGTACCATTTGACCCAGCCATCCCATTACTGGGTATATACCCAAAGGACTATAAATCATGCTGCTATAAAGACACATGCACACGTATGGTTATTGCGGCATTATTCACAATAGCAAAGACTTGGAACCAACCCAAATGTGCAACAATGATAGACAGGATTAAGAAAATGTAGCACATATACACCATGGAATACTATACAGCCATAAAAAATTATGATTTCATGTCCTTTGTAAGGACATGGATGAAATTGGAAATCATCATTCTCAGTAAACTAAACTATCGCAAGAACAAAAATCCAAACAACGCATATTCTCACTCATAGGTGGGAGTTGAACAATGAGATCACATGGACCCAGGAAGGGGAATATCACACTCTGGGGACTGTGGTGGGGTGGGTGGAGGGGGGAGGGATAGCATTGGGAGATATACCTAATGCTAGATGACAAGTTAGTGGGTGCAGTGCACCAGCATATCACATGTATACTTATGTAACTAACCAGCACAATGTGCACATCTACCCTAAAACTGAAAGTATAATAAAACAATAAAAAATAAAAAAAATAATAAAATAAAAAAAGAAGCCCATCATTAAGTTGAAAATGTCTTAAGCTGAAAATGCATTCAATAAAAAAAAAAGAAAGGGAATGTTCAACTCTGAATTGAATGCAGACATCAAAAAGATGTTTCTCAGAATGCTTCTCTCTAGATTCCACATGAAGTTATTCCCGTTTCCAATGAAATCCTCAAACTATCCAAATATCCACTTGCAGATTCTACAAAAAGAGTGTTTCAAAACTTCTCTATCAAAAGAAAAGTTCAACTCTGTGACCTGAGTACACACATCACAAACAGGTTTCTGAGAAAGCTTCTGTCTAGTTTTTATGGAAGAGATTTCCTTTTTCACCATATGCCTCAAAGTGCTCCAAATGTCCACTTCCAAATACTACAAAAAGAGTGTTTCAAACCTGCTCTATGAAAAGGAATGTCCAAGTCTGTGACTTGAATGCAAGCATCACAAAGTTGTTTCTCAGAATGCTTCTGTCTATATTTCATATGAAGATATTCCCGTTCAAAACGAAATCCACAAAGCTATCCAAATATCCACTTGCAGATTCTACAAAAAGAGTGTTTCAAAACTACTCTATCAAAAGAAAGGTTCAACTCAGTTGAGTACACACATCACAAACAAGTTTCTGAGAATGCTTCTGTCTACTTTTTATGGGAAGATATTTTCTTTTTCACCATAGGCCTCAAAGCGCTCCAAATGTCCACTTCCAGATGGTACAAAAAGAGTGTTTCAAATCTGCTCCATGAAAGGGAATGTTCGCCTCTCACTTGAATGCAAACATCACAAAGATGTTTCACAGAATGCTTCTGTCTAGATTTTATATGAAGATATTCTCGTTTCCAACAAAATCCTCAAAGCTATCCAAATATCCACAGGCAGACTCTACAAAAGGAGTGTTTCAAAACTGCTCTATCAAAAGAAAGGTTCAACTCTGTTAGTTGAGTCCACAGATCACAAACTAGTTTCTGACAACTCTTCTGTCTAGTTTTTAAGGGAAGATATTTCCTTTTACACCATAGGCCCCAAAGGGCTCCAAATGTCCACTTGCAGATACTACAAAAAGAGTGTTTCAAACTTGCTCTATGAAAGGGAATGTTGAACTCTGTGACATCAATGCATACATCACAAAGATGTTTCTCAGAATGCTTCTGTCTAGATTTCATATGACGGTATTCCCGTTTCCAACGAAAACCTCAAAGCTATCCAAATATCCACTTGCAGATTCTCCAAAAAGAGTGTTTCAAACCTGCTGTATGAAAAGAAAGGTTCACCTCTTTGAGTTGAGTACACACATCACAATGGAGTTTCTGAGAATGCTTCTCTCTAGTTTTTATGGGAAGATATTTCCTTTTTCACCATGGGCCTCAAAGCGCTCCAAGTTTCCACTTACAGATTTTACAAAAAGAGTGTTTCAAACCTGCTCTATGAAAGGAGTGTTCAACTCTATGAGTTGAATGCAACCATCACAGAGAAGTTTCTGAGAATTATTCTGTCTAGTTTCTATGTGAAGATATACACATTTCCAGCGAAGGCCTCAAAACTGTTCAAATATCCACTTGCAAATTCTATAAAAAGAGTGTTTCCAATCAGCTATATCAAAGGAAAGTTTCAAATCAATGAGTGGAATGCACACATCACAAAGAAGCTTCTGAGAATGCTTCTCTCTAATTTTATGTGAAGATATTCCCGTTTCCAATGAAATCCACAGTGCTGTACTAATATCCACTTGTAAATACAACAAGAAGAGTGTTTCAAAACTGCTGTAACAAAGGAAAGGTTTAACTCTGTGAGTTGAGTACACACATCACAAAGAAGTTTCTGAGAATTTTTCTGTCCAGTTTTTATGGGAAGATATTTCCTTTTTCACCGAAGACCTCAAAGTGCTCCAAGATTACACTTACAGATTCTCCAAAAAGAATGTTTCAAAACTGCTCTATGAAACGGAATGTTCAATTCAGTGAGTTCAATGCAAGCATCACAAAGAAGTTTCTGAGAATGCTTCTGTCTAGTTTTTATGTGAAGATATTCCCGTTTCCAACAAAAGCCTCAAAGCTATCCAAATATCCACTTGCAGATTCTACTAAAAGAGTGTTTCGAAACTGCTCTATCAAAAGAATGGTTCAACTGTGTTAGTTGAGTACACACATCACAAAGTAGTTTCGGAGAATTCTTCTGTCCAGTTTTTATGTGAAGATATTTCCTTTTCACCACAGGACTCAAAGCGCTCCAAATGTCCACTTCCAGATACCACAAAAAGGATTTTTCAAAGCTGCTCTTTGAAAGGGAATGTTCAACTCCCAGAGTTAAATGCAAACATCACAGAGCAGTTTCTGAGAATGCTTCTGTCTAGTTTTTATTTGAAGATATTTCCGTTTCCAACGAAACACTCAAAGCTGTCCTAATATCCACTGGTAAAGTCTAGAAGAACAGTGTTTCAAACCTGCTGTATCAAAAGAAAAGTTTAACTCTATGAGTTGAGTACACACATCACAAAGAAGCTTCTGAGAATGCTTCTGTCTGGTTTTACGTGAAGATATTTCCTTTTTCACTGCAGGCATCAAAGCTTTCCAAATGTCCACTTCCAGATACAACAAAAAGAGTGTTTCAAAACTGCTCTATGAAAGGGAATGTTCAACTCTGTGAGCTGAATGCAAACATCACAAAGAAGTTTCTGAGATTGCTTCTGTCTAGTTTTAATATGAAGATATTCCCGTTTCCAACGAAAGCCTCACAGCTATCCAAATATCCACTTGCAGAGCCTACAAAAGGAGTGTTTCAAAACTGCTCTGTGAAAAGAAGAGTTCAACTATGTGAGTTGAGTACACACATCGCAAAGATGTTTCTGAGAATTCTTCTGTCTAGTTTTTATGGGAAGATATTTCCTTTTTCACCACAGGCCTCAAAGCGCTCCAAATGTCCACTTTCAGACACTACAAAAAGAGTGTTTCAAAACTGCTATATGAAAGGGAATGTTCAACTCTGTGAGTTGAATGCGAACATCACAAAGAGGTTTCTGAGAATGCCTCTGTCTAGTTTTTATGTGAAGATATTCCCGTTTCCAATGAAATCCTCAAAGCTATGCAAATATCCACTTGCAGACTCTACAGAAAGAGTGTGGCAAAACTCCTTTATCAAAAGAAATGTTCAACTCTGTGAGTTGAGTACACACATCACAAAGAAGTTTCTGGGAATTATTTTCTCTAGTTTTTATGGGAAGATATTTCCTTTTTCACCATAGGCCTCAAAGCACTCCAAGTTTCCACTTACAGATACTACAAAAAGAGTGTTTCAAAACTGCTCTATGAAAAGGAATGTTCACCTCAGTGAGTTGAATGCAGGCATCACAAAGAAGTTTCTGAGAATGCTTCTATCTATTTTTTATGTAAAGATATTCCCGTTTCCAACGAAATCCTCAAAGCTATACAAATATCCACTTGCAGACTCTACAAAAAGTGTGTTTCAAAACTGTTCTATCAAAAGAAAAGTCCAACTCTGTGAGTTTAGTACACCCATCACAAAGAAGTTTCTGAGAATGCTTCTGTCTAGTATTTATGTGAATGTATTCCCGTTTCCAATGAAATCCTCCCAGCTATCCTAATATCCACTTGCAGACCCTACAAAAAGAGCGTTTCAAAACTGCTCTATCAAAAGAAAAATTCAACTCTGCGATTTTAATACACACATCACAAAGAGGTTTCTGAGAATTCTTCTGTCCAGTTTTCATGGGAAGATATTTCCTTTTTCATCATAGGCTTCAAATCGCTCTATGTTTCCATTTACAGATTCTACAAAAAGAGTGTTTCTAAACTGCTCTAAGAAAAGGAGGGTTCAACTCTGTGAGTTGAATGCAGGCATCTCAAAGAAGTTTCTGAGGATTCTTCTGTCCAGTTTTTATGTGAAGATATAGATTTTCCAGCGAAGGCCTCAAAACTGTCCAAATAGCCAATTGGAAATTCTACAAAAAGAATATTTCCAATCTGCTATAAAAAAGGAAAGTTTAAAGTCAGTGAGTTGAATGCACACATCACAAAGAAGCTTCTGAGAATGCTTCTCTCTAGTTTTATGTGAAGATATTCCCGATTCCAACGAAATCCTCAATGTTGTACAAATATGCACTTGTAAATTCCAAAAGAAGAGTTTTTAAAATCTGCTGTATCACAGGAAGAGTTTAACTCTGTGAGTTGAGTACACACATCAAAAAGTAGCTTCTGAGAATGCTTCTGTCTACTTTTTATGTGAAGATATTTCCTTTTTCAAACTAGGTCTCAAATCGAACCAAATGTCCACTTGCAGATTCTACAAAAGGCGTGTTTCAAAACTGCTCTATGAAAGGGAATTTTCAACTCTGTGCGTTGAATGCAAACATCACAAAGGAGTTTCTGAGAATGCTTCGGTCTAGTTTTTATGTGAAGATATTCCCATTTCCAAGGAAATCCTCAAACGTATCCAAATATCCACTTGGAAATTCTACAAAAAGAGTGTTTCAAAACTGCTCTATCAAAAGAAAAGTTCAACTCTGTGAGTTGAGTACACACATCACAAAGGAGTTTCTGAGAATTCTTTTGTCTAGCTTTTATGTGAAGATATTTCCTTTTTCACCATAGGCCTCAAAGCGCTCCAAGTTTCCACTTCCAGATTCTACAAAAAGAGTCCTTCAAAACTGCTCTATGAAAAGGAATGTTCAACTCAGTGGGTTGAATGCAAGCATCACCAAGAAGTTTCTGAGAATGCTTCTGTGTAATTTTTATGTGAAGATATTTGCTTTTTCACCATGAGACTCAAAGCGCTCCAAATGTCCACTTCCAGATACTACAAAAAGAGTGTTTCAAAACTGCTCTTTGAGAGTGAATGTTCAACCCCAAGAGTTGAATGCAAACATCACAAAATAGTTTCTCAGAATGCTTCTGTCTAGTTTTTATGTGAAGATATTCACGTTTCCAACGAAATACGCAAAGCTGTCCAAATATCCACTTGTAAAGTCTACAAGAACAGTGTTTCAAAACTAGTGTATCAAAGGAAAGGTTTAACTCTGTGAGTTGAGTACACCCATCACAATGTAGTTTCTGAGAATGCTTCTGTCCAATTTTTATGTGAAGATATTTCCTTTTTCACCATAGGTATCAAATCGCTCCAAATGTCCACTTGCAGATTTCACAAGAAGAGTGTTTCAAAACTGCTGTATAAAAAGGAATGTTCAACTATGTGAGTTGAATGCAAACGTCACAAAGAAGTTTCTGAGAATGCTTCTCTCTAGTTTTTATGTGAAGATATTCCCGTTTCCAAGGAAAGCCTCAAAGCTATCCACATACCCACTTGCAGATTCTACAAGAAGAGTGTTTCAAAACTGCCGTATCAAATGAGAGGTTGAACTATGTGAGTTGAGTACAGACATCACAAAGAAGTTTCTGAGAAAGCTTCTGTCTAGTATTTATGTGAAGATATTCCCTTTTCCAACAAAATCCTCCCAGCTAAACAAATATCCACTTGCAGACCCTATAAAAAGAGTGTTTCAAAACTGCTCTATCTAAAGAAAAGTTCAACTCTGTGAGTTGAGTACACACATCACAAAGAAGTTACTGAGAATGATTCTGTCTAGTTTTTATGTGAAGATATACCCGTTTCCAGCGAAGGCCTCAAAATGTTCCAAATATCCATTTGCAAATTTTACAAAAAAATTCTTTCAAATCTGCTCTATCAAAGGCAAGTTTCAAAACAGTGAGCTGAATGCAAACATTCCAAAATAGTTTCTGAGAATCCTTCTCTCTAGATTTATGTGAAGTTATTCCCATTTCCAACGAAGTCCTCACTGCTGTCCTAATATCCACTTGTTAATTCTGCAAGAAGAGTTTTTCAAAACTGCTGTAACAAAGGAAAGGTTTAACTCTTTGAGTTGAGTATGCGCATCAGAAAGTAGTTTCTGAGAACGACTCTGCCTACTTTTTACGTGAAGATATTTATTTTTTCACCATAGGTCTCACATTGCATAAAATGTCTACTTGCAGATCCTATAAAAAGAGTGTTTCAAAACTGCTCTATGAAAAGGAATGTTAAACTCTTTGAGTTGAATGCAAACATCACAGAGAAGTTTCTGAGAATGTTTCTGTCTAGTGTTTATGTGAAAATATTCCCGTTTCCAATGAAATCCTCAAAGCTATCCAAATATCCACTTGCAGATTCTACAAAAAGAGTGTTTCATTAGATCCCATTTGTCAGTTTTTTCTTTTGTTGCCATTGCTTTTGGTGTTTTAGACATGAAGTCCTTGCCCATGCCTATGTCCTGAATGGTAATGCCTAGGTTTTCTTCTATGGTTTTTATGGTTTTAGGGGTAACGTTTAAGTCTTTTATCAATCTTGAATTTATTTTTGTATAAGGTGTAAGGAAGGGATCCAATTTCAGGTTTCTACATATGGCTAGCCAGTTTTCCCAGCACTATTTATTAAATAGGGAATCCTTTCCCCATTGCTTGTTTTTCTGAAGTTTGTCAAGGATCAGTTATTTGTAGATATGTGGCATTATTTCTGAGGGCTGTGTTCTCTTCCATTGATCTACATCTCTGTTTTGGTACCAGTACCATGCTGTTATGGTAACTGTAGCCTTGTAGTATTGTTTGAAGTCAGATAGTGTGATGCCACCAAAAGAAACTACCATCAGATTGAACAGGCAACCTACAAAATGGGAGAAAGTTTTCACAACCTACTCATCTGACAAAGGGCTAATATCCAGAATCTACAATGAGCTCAAACAAATTTACAAGAAAAAACAAAAAACCCCATCAAAAAGTGGGCGAAGAACATGAACAGACACTTCTCAAAAGAAGATATTTAAGCAGTCAAAAAAACACATGAAAAAATGCTCATCATCACTGGCCATCAGAGAAATGCAAATCAAAACCACAATGAGATACCATCTCACACCAATTAGAATGGTAACCATTAAAAAGTCAGGAAACAAGAAGTGCTGGAGAGGATGTGGAGAAATAGGAACACTTTTACACTGTTGGTGGGACTGTAAACTAATTCAACCATTGTGGAATTCAGTGTGGCGATTCCTCAGGGATCTAGAACTAGAAATACCATTTGACCAAGCCATCCCATTAATGGGTATATACCCAAAGGACTATAAAGAATGCTGCTATAAAGACACAAGCACAAGTATGTTTATTGCGGCATTATTCACAATAGCAAAGACTTGGAACCAACGCAAATGTCCAAAAATGATAGACTGGATTAAGAAAACCTAACACATATACACCGTGGAATACTATGCAGCCATAAAAAATGATGAGTTCATGTCCTTTGTTGGGACACGGATGAAAATGGAAATCATCATTCTCAGTAAACTATCGTAACAACAAAAAACCAAACACCGCATATTCCACTCATAGGTGGGAATTGAACAATGAGATCACATGGACACAGGAAGGGGAATATCACACTCTGGGGACTGTTGTGGGGTGGGGGGAGGGGGAAGGGATAGCATTGAGTGATATACCTAGTTCTAGATGACGAGTTAGTGTGTGCAGCGCACCAGCATGGAATGTATACATATGTGACTAACATGAATAATGTGCACATGTACCCTAAGACTTACAGTATAATAATAATAAAAAAAGAGTGTTTCAAACTGCTCTATCAAAAGAAAAGTTCAACTCTGTGAGTTGAGTACACATATCACAAAGAAGTTTCTGAGATTTCTTCTGCCTAGTTTTATGGGAAGATATTTCCTTTTTCACCATAGGCCTCAAAGTACTCCAAGTTTCCACTTACAGATTCTACAAAAAGAATGTTTCAAAACTGCTCTATTAAAAGGAATGCTCAACTCTGTGAGTTGAATGCAAGCATCACAAAGAAGTTTCTGAGAATGCTTCTGGGTCTAGTTTTTATGTGAAGATATAACCGTTTCCAGCGAAGGCCTCAAAGCTGTCCAAATATCCACTTGCAAATTCTACAAAAAGAGTGTTTCTAATCTGCTCTATCAAAAGAAAGTTTCAACTCTGTGAGTTGAATGCACACATCACAAAGAAGTTTCTGGGAATGCTTCTGTCTAGTTTTATGTGAAGATATTCCCATTTCCAATGAAATCCACAATGCTGTTCTAATATCCACCTGTAAATTCTACAAGAAGAGTGTTTCAAAACTGCTGTATCAAATGAAAGGTTTAACTTTGTGAGTTGAGTACACACATCACAAATTAGTTTTTGAGAATGCTTCTGCCTAGTTTTTATGGGAAGATATTTCCTTTTTCACAATAGGTCTTTAATCGCTCCAAATGTCCCTTTCCAGATACTACAAAAAGAGTGTCTCAAACTGCTCAATGAAAGGGAATGTTCAACTCGGTGAGTTGAATGCAAACAACACAAGGAAGTTTCTGAGAATGTTTCTGTCTAGTTTTTAAGTGAAGATATTCCAGTTTCCAATGAAATCCTCAAAACAATCCAAATATCCACTTGCAGACTCTACAAAAAGAGTGTATCACAATTGGTCTATCAAAAGAATCTTTCAAATCAGTGAGTTGAATGCAAGCATCACAAAGAAGTTTCTGAGAATTATTCTGTCCAGTTTTTATGTGAAGATATTCCCTTTTTCACCATAGGCCTCAAATCTCTCCAAGTTTACACTTACAGACTCTACAAAAAGAGTGTATCAAAACTGCTCTATGAAAAGGAATGCTCAGTTCTGTGAGTTGAATGCAAGCATCACAAAGAACTTTCTGAGAATGCTTCTGTCTAGTTTTTACGTGAAGATATTCCTGTTTCAAACGAAAGCCTCAGAGCTATCCAAATATTCACTTGCAGATTTTACAATAAGAGTGTTTCAAAACTGCTGCATCAAAAGAAAGGTTCAACTCTATGAGTTGTGTACACACATCACAAAGAAGTTTCTGAGAATGCTTCTGTCTGGTATTTATGTGAAGATATATACTTTTTCACCACAGGCCTTAATACACTCCAAATGTATACTTCCAGATACTACAAAAAGAGTGTTTCAAAACTGCTCTATGAAAGGGAATGTTCAACTCTGTGAGTTGAATGGAAAAATCACAAAGTAGTTTCTGAGAATGCTTCTGTCTAGTTTCTATATGAAGGTATTCCCGTTTCCAACGAAATCCACAAAGCTATCCTTATATCCACTTACAGATTGTACAAAAAGAGTGTTTCAAACTGCTCTATCAAAAGAAAACTTCAGCTCTTTGAGTTGAGTACACATATCACAAAGAAGTTTCTGAGAATTCTTCTGTCTAGTTTTTATGGGAAGATATTTCCTTTTTCACCACAGGCCTCAAAGCACTTCACGTTTCCACTTACAATTTCTACAAAAAGATTGTTTCAAAACTGCTCTATGGAAAGGAATGTTCAATTCTGTGAGTTGAATGCAAGCATCACAAAGAAGTTTCTGAGAATGCTTTTGTCTAGTTTTTATGTGAAGATATTCCCGTTTCCAACGAAATCCTCAAAGCTATCCAAATATCCACTTGCAGATTCTACACAAAGAGTGTTTCAAAACTACTGTATCAAAAGAAAGGTTCAACTGTGTGAGCTGAGTACCCACATCACAAAGAAGTTTCTGAGATGCTTCTGTCTACTTTTAATGTGAAGATATTTCCTTTTTCACGATGAGCCACAAAGCTGTCAAAATGTCCACTCCCAGATAATAAAAAAAAGTGTTTCAAAACTACTCTATGAAAAGGAATGTTCAACTCTGTGAGTTGAATGCAAGCATCACAAAGAAGTTTCTGACAATGCTTCTGTCTAGTTTTTATGTGAAGATATTCCCGTTTCCATTGAAAACCTCAAAGTTATCCAAATATCCAATTGCAGATTCTACAAAAAAAATTGTTTCAAAACTGTGGTATCAAAAGAAAGCTTCGACTCTGTGAGTTGAGTACATACATCACAAAGAAGTTTCTGAGAATGCTTCTGTCTAGTTTTTATGTGAAGATAGTCCTTTTTCACCATAGGCCTCAAAGCGCTCCAAATGTCCCCTTCCAGATACTGCAAAAAGAGTTTTTCAAAACTGCTCTATGAAAGGGAATGTTCAACTCTGTGAGTTGAATTCAAGCATCACAAAGAAGTTTCTCGGGATGCTTCTGTCTAGCTTTTATGTTAAGATATTCTGTTTCCAACGAAATCCTCAAAGCTATCCAAATATCCACATGCAGACTCTACAAAAAGAGTGTTTCAAAACTGCTCTATCAAAAGAAAAGTTCAACACTATGAGTTCAGTACACACATCACAAAGAAGTTCCTGAGAATTCTGTCTAGTTTTATGGGAAGATATTTCCTTTTTCACCTTTGGACAAAAAGGGCTCCAAGTTTCCACTTACAGATTCTACAAAAAGAGTGTTTCAAATCTGTTCTATGAAGAGGAATGCTCAACTCTGTCAGTTGAATGCAAGCATCACAAAGAAGTTCCTGAGAATGCTTCTGTCTTGTTTATATGTGAAGATATACCCGTTTCCAGCGAAGGCTTCAAGCTGTCCAAATATCCACTTGCAAATTCTACTAAAAGAGTATTTCCAATCTGCTCTATCAAATGAAAGTTTCATCTCTGTCAGTTGAGTGCACACATCACAAAAAGTTTCTGAAAATGCTTCTGTTTAGTTTTATGTGAAGATATTCCCCTTTCCAACGAAATCCCCAAAGCTGTCCTAATATCCACTTGTAAATTCTACAACAAGAGTGTTTCAAAACTGCCGTATCAAAGGAAAGTTTTAACTCTGTAAGTTGAGTACACACATCACAAAGTAGTTTCTGAGAATGCTTCTGTCTAGTTTTTATGTGAAGATATTTCCTTTTTCACCATAGGCCTCAAAGCACTTCAAATGTCCTCTTCCAGATACTACAAAAACAGTGTTTCAAAACTGCTCTATGAAAGGGAATGTTCAGCTCTGTGAGTTGAATGCAAGCATCACAAAGAAGTTTCTCAGGATGTTTCTGTCTAGTTTTTATGTTAAGATATTCCGTTTCCAACGAAATCCTCAAAGCTAACCAAATATCCACTTGCAGACTATGCAAAAAGAGTGTTTCAAAACTGCTCTATCAAAAGAAAAGTTCAACTGTATGAGTTCAGTACACACCTCCAAAATAAGTTCCTGAGAATTCTTCTATCTCGTTTTTATGGGAAGATATTTCCTTTTCCACCATTGGACACAAAGGTCTCCAAGTTTCCACTTACAGATTCTACAAAAAGAGTGTTTCAAAACTGTTCTATGAAAAGGAATGCTCAACTCTGTGAGTTGAATGCAAGCATCACAAAGAAGTTTGTGAGAATTCTTCTGTCTTCTTTTTATGTGAAGATATACCCGTTTCCAGTGAAGGCCCCATAGCTGTCAAAATATCCACTTGCAAATTCTACAAAAAGAGTATTTCCAATCTGCTCTACCAAAAGAAAGTTTTAACTGTGTGAGTTGAATGCACACATCACAAAGAAGTTTCTGAAAATGCTTCTGTTTAGTTTTATGTGAAGATAATCCCCTTTCCAATGAAATCCTCAATGCAGTTCTAATACCCACTTTTAAATTCTAAAACAAGAGTGTTTGAAAACTGCTGTATCAAAGGAAAGTTTTAACTCTGTAAGTTGAGTACACACATCACAAAGTCGCTTCTGAGAATGCTTCTGTCTACTTTTTTATGTGAAGATATTTCCTTTTACACCATAGGTCTCAAATCGCTCCAAAAATCCACTTCCAGATACTACAAAAAGAGTGTTTCAAAATTACTCTATGAAAGGGAATGTTCAACTCTGTGAGTTGAAAGCAAGCATCACAAGGAAGTTTCTGAGAATTATTCTGTCTACTTTTTATGTGAAAATATTTCCCTTTTCACCATAGGTCTCAAACTGCTCCAAATGTCCACTTGCAGATTCTACAAAAAGAGTTTTTCAATCTGCTGTAACAAAAGAAAGGTTCAAGTCTGTGAGTTGAGTACACACATCACAAGAAGTTCCTGAGAATTCTTCTGTCTAATTTTTATGTGAAGATATTTCGTTTCTCACCATAGGCCTCAAAGTGCTCAAATGTTCACTCCCAGATACTACAAAAAGAGTGTTTCAAAACTGCTGTCTGAAAGGGAATGTTCAACTCTCTGAGATGAATGCAAACGTCACAAAGAAGATTCTGAGAATCCTTCTGTCTAGTTTTTACGTGAAGATATTCCCGTTTCCAATGAAATCCACAAAGATATAAAAAATAACCACTTGCAGATTCTACAAAAAGAGTGTTTCAAAACTGCTCTATCAAAAGAAAATTTCAACTTTGTGAGTTGAGTACATTCATCACAAAGAAGTTTCTGAGAATTCTTCTGTCTAGTTTTTATGGGAAGATATCTCCTTTTTCTCCATAGGCCTCAAAGCGCTCCAAGTTTCCACTTACACATTATACAAAAAGAGTTTTCAATACTACTCCATGAAAAGCAATATTCAACTCTGTGAGTTGAATGCACGCATCACAAGGAACTTTCTGAGAATGTTTCTGTCTAGTTTTTATGTGAAGATAATCCCGTTTCCAACGAAATTCTCAAAGCTATCCAAATATCCACTTGCAGACTCTACAAAAAGAGAGTTTCAAAACTGCTCTATTAAAGGAAAACTTCAACTCTGTGAGTTGAGTACACACATCACGAAGAAGTTTCTGAGAATTCTTCTGTCTAGTTTTTCTCGGAAGATATTTCCTTTTTCACCATAGGCTTCAAAAGGATCAAAGTTTCCACTTACAGATTCAAAAAAAGAGTGTATCAAAAGTGCTCTATGAAAAGGAATGTTCAACTTTGTGAGTTGAATGCAAGCATCACAAAAAAGTTTCTGAGAATGCTTTTGTCTAGTTTTTATGTGAAGATATTCCCATTTCCAATGAAAGACTCGAAGCTATCCAAATATGCACTTGCAGATTCTACAAAAAGAGTGTTTCAAAACAGCTGTATCAAAAGAAAGGTTCAAATCTGTGAGTTGAGTACACACATCACAAAGAAGTTTCTGAGAATGCTTCTGTCTAGTTTTTATGTGAAGATATTCCCATTTCCAATGAAAGCCTCAAAGCTATCCAAATATCCACTTGCAGATCCTACAAAAAGAGAGGTTCAAGAATGCTGTATCAAAAGTAAGTTTCAGCTCTGTCAGTTGAGTACCCACATCACAAAGAAGTTTCTGAGAATGCTTCTGTCTAATTTTCATGTGAAGATATTTCCTTTTTCACCATAGGCCTCAAAGCTCTCCAAATGTCCACTTCCAGATACTACAAAAAGAGTGTTTCAAAACTGCTCTATGAAAGAGAATGTTCAACTTTGTGAGTTGAATGCAAGCATCACAAAGAAGTTTCTGAGAATGCTTCTGCCTAGTTATGTGAAGATATTCCCGTTTCCAACGAAAGCCTCAAAACTATCCGAATATCCACTTGCAGATTCTACAAAAAGAGTATTTCAAAAGTGCTCTATCAATAGAAAAGTTCACCTGTGTGTGTTGAGTACACACATCACAAAGCAGTTTCTGAGAATTCTTCTGTGTAGCTTTTATGGGAAGATATTTCCTTTTTAAGCATAGGCCTCAAAGTGCTCCAAGTTTCCACTTGCGCATTTTACAAAAAGACAGTTTCAGAACTGCTCTATGAAAAGGAATGTTCAACTCTGTGAGTTGAATGCCAGCATCACAAAGAAGTTTCTGAGAATGCTTCTGTCTGGTACTTATATGAAGATATACCCGTTTCCAGCGAAAACCTCAAAGCTTCCAAATATCCATTTGCAAATTCTACAAAAAGATAGTTTGCAATCTGCTCTATCTACAGAAACTTTCAACTCTGTGAGTTTAATGCGCAAATCGCAAAGAAGTTTCTGAGAATGCTTCTGTCTACTTTTATGTGAAGATATTCCCGTTTCCAAGGAAATCCTCAATACTGTGCTAATATCCACTTGTAAATACTACAAGAGGAGTGCTTCAAAACTGCCGTGTCAAAGGAAAGTTTTAACTCTGTGAGTTGAGTACACACATCACCAAGTAGTTTCTGATAATGTTTCTTTCTACTTTTTATGTAAAGATATTTCCTTTTTCACCATATGTGTCAAATCGCACCAAACGTCCACTTCCAGATACTACAAAGGAGTGTTTCAAAACTGCTCTATTAAAGGGAATGTTGAACTGTGTGAGATGAATGCAAACATCAAAAAGAAGTATCTGAGAAAGCTTCTTTCTAGATTTTACGTGAAGATATTCCCGTTTCCAATGAAATCCAAAAACCTAACCAAGTATCCACTTGCAAACTCTACAAAAAGCGTGTTTCAAAACTGCTCTATCAAAAGAAAATTTCAACTCTGTGAGCTGAGTACACACATCACAAAGAAGTTTCTGAGAATTCTTCTGTCTAGTTTTTATGGGAGGATATTTCCTTTTTCACCATAGGCCTCAAAGCACTCCAAGTGTCCACTTCCAGATACTACAAAAAGAGTGTTTCAAAACTGCTCTATGAAAGAGAATGTTCAACTCTGTGAGTTGAATGCAAACATCAGAAAGAAGTTTCTGAGAATGCTTCTGTCTAGTTTTTATGTGAGGATATCCCCGTTCCCAACGAAATCCTCAAATATATCCAAATATCCACTTGCAGACACTACAAAAAGAGTGTTTCAAAACTGCTGTATCAAAAGAAAAGTTCAATTCTGTGAGTTGGGTTCACTCATCACAAAGAAGTTTCTGAGAATTCATCTGTCTAGTTTTTATGGGAAGATATATCCTTTTTCAACATAGGCCTCAAAGCGCTCCAAGTTTTCACTTACAGATTCTACAAAAAGAGTGTTTCAAAACTGCTATATGAAATGGAATGTTCAACTCTGTGAGTTGAATGCAAGCATCACAAAGAAGTTTCTGAGAATGCTTCTTTCTAGTTTTTATGTGAAGATATTCCCTTTTCCAACAAAAGCCTCATAGCTATTCAAATATTCACTTGCAGATTCTACCAAAAGGGTGTTTCAAAACTGATGTATCAAAAGAAATGTTCAAGTCTGTGAGTTGAGGGCACACATTCCAAAGAAGTTTCTGAGAATGCTTCTGTCTAGTTTTTATGTGAATATATTTCCTTTTTCACCACAGGCCTCAAAGCGCTCCATATGTCCAATTCCAGTTACTACAAAAAGAGTGTTTCAAAACTGCTCTATGAAAGGGAATGTTAAACTCAGTGAGTTGAAGGCAATCATCACAAAGAAGTTTCTGAGGATGCTTCTGTCTAGTTTTTATGAGAGGATATTTCCTTTTTCACCATAGGCCTCAAATCGCTCCAAGTTTCCACTTACAGATCCTACAAAAAGAGTGTTTCAAAACTGCTCTATGAAGAGGAATGTTCAACTCTGTGAGTTGAATGCAAGCATCACAAAGTAGTTTCTGAGAACGCTTCTGTCTAGTTTTTATGTGAAGATATATCCTTTTCCAGCAAAGTCCTCTATGCTGTCCAAATATCCAATTGCAAATTCTACAAAAAGAGTGTTTCCAATCTGCTCTATCAAAAGAAATTTTCAACTCTGTGAGTTGAATGCACACATCACAAATAAGTTTCTGAGAATGCTTCTGTCTAGTCTTATGTGAAGATATTCCCGTTTCCAATGAAATCCTCAGTGCTGTCATAATATCCACTTGTAAATCCTACTAGAATGGTGATTCAAAACTGCTGTATCAAAGAAAATGTTTAACTCTCTGAGTTAAATACACGCACCACAAATAGTTTCTGAGAATGCTTCTGTCTACTTTTCATGTGAAGATAATTCCTTTTCCACCATAGGTCTAAAGTCGCTCCAAATGTCCACTTGCAGATTCTACAAAAATAGTGTTTCAAAACTGCTCTATGAAAATGAACGTTCAACACTGCTAGTTGAATGCAAACATCACAAAGAAATTTCTGAGAGGGCTTCTGTCTAGTTATTATGTGAAGATATTCCCGTTTCCAAAGAAAGCCTCAAAGCTATACAAATATACACTTGCAGACTCTACAAAAAGAGTGTGTCAAAGCTGTTCTATCAAAAGAAAAGTTCAACGCTGTGAGTTGAATACACACATCACGAAGAAGCTTCTGAGAATCCTTCTGTCTAGTTTTTCTAGGAAGATATTTCCTTTTTCACAATAGGCCTCAAAGGGCTCCAAGTTTCCACCTACAGATTCTACAAAAAGGGTGTTTCAAAACTGCTATAGGAAAAGTAGTGTTCAACTCTGTGAGTTGAATGCAAGCATCTCAAAGAAGTTTCTGAGAATGCTTCTTTCTAGTTTTTATGTGAAGATATAACCGTTTAAAGCAAAGGCCTCAAAGCTGTCCAAATATCCACTTGCAAATTCTCCAAAAAGTGGGTTTCCAATCGGCTTTATCAAAAGAAAGTTTCAACTCTGTGAGTTGAATGCACACATCACAAAGAAGTTTCTGAGAATGCTTCTGTAGAGTTTTTATGTGAAGATATTTCCATTTTCACCTTAGGCCTCAAAGCACTCCAAATGTCCACTTTCAGATACTGCAAAAAGAGTGCTTCAAAACTACTCTATGAAAGGGAATGTTCAACTCCGTTAGTTAAATGCAAACATCACAAGGAAGTTTCTGAGAATGCTTCTGTCTCGTTTTTATGTGAAGTTATTCCCCTTTCCAACGAAATTCTCAAAGGTATCCAAATATCCACTTTCAGACTCTACAAAAAGAGTGTTTCAAAACTGCTCTATCTAAAGAAAAGTTGAACCCTGTGATTTGAGTACACAGACCACAAAGAAGTTTCTGAGAATGCTTCTGTCTAGTTTTTATGGGAAAATATTTCCTTTCCCACTATAGGCCTCAAAGCGCTCCAAGTTTCCACTTACAGATTCTACAAAAAGAGTGTTTCAAAACTGCTCAATGAATAGGAATGTTCAACTCTGTGAGTTGAATGTAAGTATCATGAAGAAGTTTCTAAGAATGTTTCTGTCTAGTTTTTATGTGAAGATATACCCGTTTCCAGTGAAGGTCTCAAAGCTGTCCAAATATCCAATCGCAAATACTACAAAAAGAGGGTTTCCTATCAGCTGTATCAAATAAAGTTTCCACTCTGTTAGTTGAATGCACACGTCACAAAGAAGTTTCTGAGAATGCTTCTGTCTTGTTTTTATATGAAGATATTCCTGATTCCAACGAAATCCTCAAAGCTTTCCTAATATCCACTTGCAGATTCTACAAAAACAGTGTTTCAAAACTGTTCTATGAAAAGGAATGTTCAACTCTGTGAGTTGAATGCAAGCATCACAAAGAAGTTTCTGAGAAGGCTTCTGTCTAGTTTCATGTGAAGATATACCCGTTTCCAGCGAAGTCCTCAAAGCTGTCCAAATATCCACCTGCAAATTCTACAAAAAGATGGTTTCCAATCTGCTCTATCAAAATAAAGTTTCAACTCTGTGAGTTGAATGCACACATCAAAAAGAAATTTCTAAGAATGCTTCTGTCTAGTTTTATGTGAAGATGTTCCTGTTTCCAAAGAAATCCTCAATGCTGTCCTAATATGCACATGTAAATTCTGCAACAAGAGTGTTTCAAAACTGCTGTATCAAGGGTAAGGTTTAACTCTTTGAGTTGAGTACTCACATCACAAATTAGTTTCTGAGAATGCTTCTGTCTACTTTTCATGTGAAGATATTTCCTTTTTCACCATGGGTCTGAAATCGGTTCAAATGTCCACTTGCAGATTCTACAAAAAGAGTGTTTCAAAACTGTTCTACGAAAAGGAATGTTCAGCTCTGTGAGATGAATGCAAACATCACAAAGAAGTTTCTGAAAATTCTTCCATCTAGTGTTTATTTGAAGATATTCACGTTTCCAACGATATCCTCAAAGCTATCCAAATATCCACTTGCAGACTCTCCAAAAGAGAGTTTCAAAACTGCTCTATCAAAACAAAAGTTCAACTTTGTGAGTTGAGTACACCCAGCACAAGAAATTTCTGAGAATTCTTCTGTCTAGTTTTTATGGTAACATATTTCTTTTTTCACCATTGGTTATGAAGCACACCAAGTTTGCACTTACAGATTCTACAAAATGAGTGTTTCAATACTGCTCTATGAAAACGAATGTTCAACTCTGTGAGTTGAATGCTAGCATCGCAAAGAAGTTTCTGAGAATGCTTCTGCCTAGTTTTTATGTGAAAATATTCCCGTTTCCATCGAAATTCTCAAAGCGATCAAATATCCACTTGCAGATACTACAAAGAGAGTGGTTCAAAACTGCTCTATCAAAAGAAATGTTAAACTCCGTGAGTTGAGGGAGCACATCACAAAGAAGTTTCTGAGAATACTTCTGTCTTGTTATTATGTGAAGATATTCCTGTTTCCAGCGAAGGCCTCAATGCTGTCCAAATATCCACTTGCAAATTCTACAAAAAGAGTTTCCAATCTGCTCTATCAAGGAAAAGTTCAACTCTGTGAGTTGAATACACACATCACAAAGAAGATTCTCAGAATGCTTCTGTCTAGCTTTTATGTTATGATATTTACTTTTTCACCATAGGCCTCAAAGCACACCAAATGTCCAGTTGCAGATCCTGAAAATAGTGTGCTTCAAAACAGCTCTATCAAAAGAAGGGTTCAACAAGAACAAACTTGTTTCTGATAATGATTCTGTCTAGTTTTTATGTGAAGGTATTCCGATTTCAAACGAAGGCCTCGAAGTGCTTCCAATGACCACTTGCAGATTCTACAAAAAGAGTCTTTGAAAACTACTCTATGAAAAGGAAGTTCCAACTCTGGGAGTTGAATGCAATTGGAAACGGGAATATCTTCATATAAAATCTAGACAGAAGCATTGTGAGAAACATCTTTGTGATGTTTGCATTCAACTCACAGAGTTGAACATTCCCTGTAATAGAGCAGGTTTGAAACACACTTTTTGTAGTATCTGGAAGTGGACATTTGGAGCGCTTTGAGGCATATGGTGAAAATGGAAATATCTTCCCATAAAAACTAGACAGAAGAATTCTCAGAAACTAGTTTGTGATGTGTCTACTCAACTAACAGAGTTCAACATTTCTTTTGATAGAGCTGTTTTGAAACACTCTTTTTGTAGAATCTGCTAGTGGATATTTGTATAGCTTTGAGGATTTCGTTGGAAAGGGGAATTTATTCACATAAAATCTACACAGAAACATTCTCAGAAACTTCTTAGTGACGTTTGCATTCAAGTCACAGAGTTGAACATTCCATTTCACAGAGCAAGTTTGAAACACACTTTTGTAGTATCTGGAAGTGGACATTTGGAGCATTTTCAGGCCTATGCTGAAAAAGGAAATATCTTCCCATAAAAAATAAACAGAAGAATTCTCAGAAACTAGTTTGTGATGTGTGTACTCAACTAACAGATTTGAACCTTTCTTTTGATAGAGCAGTGTTCGAACACTCTTTTTGTAGAAACAGCATGTGGATATTTGGATAGATTTGTGGATTTCGATGGAAACAGGAATATCTTCATATAAAATCTAGACAGAAGCATTCTCAGAAACCTCTTAGTGTTGTTTGCATTGAAGTCACAGAGTGGAACATTCCATTTCATAGACCAGGTTTGAAACAGTCTTTTTGTAGAATCTGCAAGTGGATATTAGGATAGCTTTGATGATTTCGTTGGAAACGGGAATATCTTCATATACAATCTAGACAAAAGCACTGTGAGAAACATCTTTGTGATGTTTGCATTCAATTCACAGAGTTGAACATTCCCTTTCATAGAGCAGGTTTGAAACACTCATTTTGTAGTATGCAGAAGTGGATATTTGGAGCGCTTTGAGGCATATGGTGAAAAAGGGAAACTCTTCCAATAAAAAAAAGACAGAAGCATTCTCAGAAACGTGTTTGCGATGTGTGTACTCAACACACAGAGGTGAAATTTCTTTTGATACAGTTGTTTTGAAACAGTCTTTCTGGAGAATCCGCAAGTGGATATTTTGATAGCTTTGAGGATTTCGTTGGAGACGGGAATATCTTCATATAAAATCTAGACAGAAGCATTCTGAGAAACATCATTGTGATGTTTACATTCATGTCACAGAGTTCAACATTCCCTTTCATAGAGCAGGTTTGAAACACTCATTTTGTAGCATCTGGAAGTGGACATTTGGAGTGCTTTGAGGCCTATGGTGAAAAAGGAAACATCTTTCCTAAAAAACTAGACAGAAGAGATCTCAGAAACTAGTTTCTGATGTGTGTACTCAACTAACAGCGTAGAACCTTTCTTTCAATACAGCAGTTTTGAAACACTCTTTTTGTAGAATCTGCAAGTGGATATTTAGATAGCTTTGAGGATTTCGTTGGAAACGGGAATATCTTCATATGAAATCTAGACAGAAGCATTCTGAGAAACATCTTTCTGATGTTTGCATTCCTGTCACAGAGTTCAACATTCCCTTTCATAGAGCAGGTTTGAAACACTCTTACTGTAGTATCTGGAAGTGGACATTTGGAACACTTTGAGGCCAATGGTGGAAATGGAAATATCTTCCCATAAAAACTAGACAGAAGAATACTCAGAAACTAGTTTCTGATGTGGGTACTCAACTAACAGAGTTGAACTTTTCTTTTAATAGAGCTGTTTTGAAACACTCTTTTTGTAGAATCTGCAAGTAGATATTTGGATAGCTTTGACGATTTCCTTGGAAACGGGAATATCTTCATATAAAATCTAGACAGAAGCATTCTCAGAAACCTCTTAGTGATGTTTGCATTGAAGTCACAGAGTTGAACATTCCATTTCATAGAGCAGGTTTGAAACACTCTTTCTGTAGTAACTGGAAGTTGATATTTGGAGCGCTTTGAGGCCTGTGGTGAAAATGGAAATATCTTCCCATAAAAACTAGACAGAAGAATTCTCAGAAACTAGTTGGTGATGTGTGTACCCAACTAACAGAGTTGAACCTTTCTTTTGGTAGAGCTGTTTTGAGACACTCTTTTTGTAGAATCTGCAAGTGGATATTTGGATAGCTTTGACGATTTCTTTGCAAACGGGAAAATGTTCACATAAAATCTACACAGAAGCCTTCTCAGTAACTTCTTAGTGATGTTTGCATTCAAGTCACAGAGTTGAACATTCCATTTCATAGAGCAAGTTTGAAACACACTTTTTGTAGCTTCTGGAAATGGATATTTGGAGCGCTTTGATGCCTATGGTGAAAATGGAAATATCTTCCCATAAAAACCAGACAGAAGAATTCTCAGAAACTAGTTTGTGATGTGTGTACTTAACTAACAGAGTTGAACCTTTCTTTTGATATAGCAGTTTTGAAACACTCTTTTTGTAGAAACTGCAAGTGGATATTTTTACAGCTTTGATGATTTCTTTGGAAACCGGAATATCTTCATTTAAAATCTAGACAGAAACATTCTCAGAAACTTCTTAGTGGTGTTTGCATACAAGTCACAGAGTTGAACATTTAATTTTATGGAGCAGGTTTGAAACAGTCTTTTTGTAGAATCTGCAAGTGGATATTTGGATAGCTTTGACGATTCCGTTGGAAAGGTTAATATATTCATATAAAATCTAGACAGAAGCATTGTGAGAATCATCTTTGTGATGTTTCCATTCAAGTCACAGAGTTGAACATTCCCTTTCATAGAGCAGGTATGAAACACTCTTTTTGTAGTATCTGCAAGTGGATAATTAGAGCGCTTTGAGGCTCATGGTGAAAATGGAAATATCTTCCCATGAAAACTAGACAGAGGAATTCTCAGAAACTAGTTTGTGATGTGTGTACTAATTTAACAGATTTGAACCTTTCTTTTGATAGAACAGTTTTGAAACACTCTTTTTGGAGAATCTGCAAGTGGATATTTGGATACGTTTGAGGATTTCGTTGGAAATGGGAATATCTTCATATAAAATCTAGACAGAAGCATTCTCAGAAGCTTCTTAGTGATGTGTGCATTCAAGTCACAGAGTTGAACATTCCATTTCATAGAGCTGGTTTGAAACAGTCCTTTTGTAGAATCTGCAAGTGGATATTTGCATAGCTTTGACGATTTCGTTGGAATCAGGAATAACTTCATATAAAATCTATACAGAGGCATTGTGAGAAACAACTTTGTGATGTTTGCATTCAACTCACAGTGTTGAACACTCCCTTTCATAGAGCAGGTTTGAAACACTCTTTTTGAAGTATCTGGAAGTGGACATTTGGAGCGCTTTGAGGCATAAGGTGAAAAAGGGAATCTCTTCCCATAAAAACTAGACAGAAGCATTCTCAGACACTTGTTTGTGATGTGTGTACTGAACTCACAGAGTTGAACTTTTCCTTCATAGAACTGTTTTGAAATACTCTTTTTGTAGAATCTGCAAGTGGATATTTGGATAGCTTTGAGGATTTCGTTGGAAACGGGAATATCTTCATATGAAATCTAGACATTAGCATTCTGCGAAATATCTTTGTGATGTTTGCATTCATGTCACAGAGTTCAACATTCCCTTTCACAGAGCAGGTTTGAAACACTCTTTTTGTAGTATCTGGAAGTGGACATTTGGAGCGCTTTGAGGCCTATGTTGAAAAAGGAAATATCTTCCCCTAAAAACTAGGCAGAAGAGTTCTCAGAAACTTGTTTGTGATGTGTGTACTCAACTAACACAGTTGAACCTTTGTTTTGATAGAGCAGATTTGAAAGATTCTTTTTGTAGAACCTGCAAGTGGATATTTGGATACCTTTGAGGATTTCGTTGGAAAAGGGAATATCTTATAAGTTCTAGACAGAATCATTCTCAGAAAATTCTTAGTGATGTTTGCATTCAAGTCACAGAGCTGAATATTCCATTTCATAGAGCAGGTTTGAAACACTCTTTTTGTAGAATCTGCAGGTGGATATTTGGATAGATTTGACGATTTCGTTGGAAACGGTAATATCTTCATATAACATCTACACAGAAGCATTGTGAGAAACATCTTTGTGATATTTGCATTCAAGTCACAGAGTTGAACATTCCCTTTCATAGAGCAGGTTTCAAAAACTCTTTTTGTAGTATCTGGAAATGGACATTTTGAGCGTTTTGAGGCCTGTGGTGAAAAAGGAAATACCTTCCCATAAAAGCTAGACAGAAGAATTCTCAGAAACTGGTTTGTTATGTGTGTACTCAATTAACAGAGTTGAAACTTTCTTTTGATAGAGCAGGTTTGAAACACTCTTTTTGAAAAATCTGCAAGTGGATATTTGGATAGCTGGGACGATTTCATTGGAAACGGGAATGTCTTCATATAAAATCTAGAAAGAAGCATTCTCAGAAACTTCTAAGTGATGTTTGCATTCAAGTCACAGGGTTGAACTTTCCATTTCTTAGAGCAGGTTTGAAACAGTCTTTTTGTAGAATTTGCAAGTGGATATTTGGATAGCTTTGATGATACCGTTGGAAACGGGAATATCTTCATAGAAAATCTAGACAGAAGCTTTGTGAGAAACATCTTTGCGATGTTCACATTCAAGTCACACGGTTGAACATTCCCTTTCATAGAGCAGGTTTGAAACCCTTTTTTTGTAGTATCTGGAAGTGGACATTTAGAGCGAGTTGAGGCTTATGGTGAAAATGGAAATATCTTCCCATAAAAACTGGACAGAAGAATTCTCAGAAACTAGTTTGTAATGTGTGTACTCAACTAACAGAGTTGAACATTTCTTTTGATAGAGCAGTTTCGAAACACGCTTTTTGTAGAATCTGCAAGTGGATATTTGGAGAGCTTTGAGGATTTCGTTGGAAATGGGAATATCTTCATATAAAATCTAGACGGAAGCATTCTTAGAAGCTTCTTAGTGATGTTTGCATTCAAGTCACAGAGTTCAACATTCCATTTCATAGAGCTGGTTTGAAACCGTCCTTTTGTAGAATCTGAAAGTGGATATTTGGATAGATTTGACGATTTCATTGGAATCAGGATTATCTTCATATAAAATCTAGACAGAAGCATTGTGAGAAACTTCTTTGTGACGTCTCCATTCAACTCACAGAGTTGAACATTCCCTTTCATAGAGCACGTTTGAAACACTCTTTTTCTAGTATCTGGAAGTGGACATTTGGAGCGCTTTGAGGAATATGGTGAAAAAGGGAATCTCTTCCCATAAATACTAGAAAGAAGCATTCTCAGAAACTAGTTTGTGATGTGTGTACTCAACTCACAGAGTTGAACCTTTCTTTTCATAGAACTGTTTTGAAACACGATTTTTGGAGAATCTGCAAGTGGATATTTGGATAGCTTTGAGGATTTCGTTGGAAACGGGAATATCTTCATATGAAATCTAGACAGAAGCATTCTGAGAAACATCTTTGTGACATTTGCATTCCTGTCACAGAGTTCAACATTCCTTTTCATAGAGCAGGTTTGAAACACTCTTTTTGTAGCATCAGGAATTGGACATTTGGAGCACTTTCAGGCCTATGTTGAAATTGGAAATATCTTCCCTTTAAAAGTAGGCAGAAGAGTTCTCAGAATCTAGTTTGTGATGTGTGTACTCAACTAACACAGTTGAACCTTTCTCTTGATAGAGCAGATTTGAAAGACACTTTTTGTGGAATTTGCCATTGGATATTTGGATAGCTTTCATGATTTCGTTGGAAACGGGAACATCTTCATATAAACTCTATACAGAAAGATTCTCAGTAACTTCCTTGAAATGATTGCATTCAAGTCACAGAGTTGAACATTCCGTTTGATAGAGCAGGTTTGATACACACTTTCTGTGGTATCTGGAAGTGGACATTTGGAGGGCTTTGAGACCTATGGTGAAAATGGATATATCTTCCCCTAAAAACTACACAGAAGAATTCTCAGAAACTAGTTTGTGATGTGTGTACTCAACTAAAAGAGTTGAGCCTATCTTTTGAGAGAGCTGTTTTGAAACACCCTTTTTGTAGAACTTGCAAGTGCATAATTTGATAGCTTTCATGGTTTGACTGGAAACGGGAATATCTTCACATAAAATCTACACAGAAGGATTCTCAGAAACTTCCTAGTGAAGTTTGCATTCAAGCCAAAGAGTTGAACGTTGCAATTCATAGAGCAGGTTTGAAACACTCTTTCTGTGGTATCTGGAAGTGGACATTTGGAGCTCTTGAGGCCTATGGTGAAAATGGAAATATCTTCCCCTAAAAACTACACAGAAGAATTCTCAGAAACATGCTTGGATGTGTGTACTCAACTCACAGAGTTCAACCTTTCTTTTGATAGAGGTGTTTTGAAACACTCTTTTTGTAGAATCTGCAAGTGGATATTTGGATACCTTTAACGATTTCGTTGGAATCGGGAATGTCTTCATATAAAATCTAGACAGAAGCATTCTCAGAAACCACTTAGTGATGTTTGCATTGGAGTCACACAGCTGATCATTCCATTTCATAAAGCAGGTTTGAAAGACTCTTTTTGTAGTTTCTGGAAGTGGACTTTGCAGCGCTTTGAGGCCTATGGTGCAAATGAAAATATATTCCCTTCAAAACTGCACAGAAAAGTTCTCAGAAACTAGTTTGTGATGTGTGTACTCAACTAACACAGTTGAACTTTTCTTTGGATTGTGCAGTTCTGAAACACTCTTTTGGTAGAATCTGCAAGTGGATATTTGGATAGCTTTGAGCATTTCGTTAGAAACATGATAATCTTATAAAATCTAGACAGAGGCATTCTCAGAAACTTCTTATTGATGTTTTCATTCAACTCACAGAGGTGAAAATTCCATTTCATGGAGCTGGTTTGAAACACTCTTTCTGTGGTATCTGGAAGGGGACATTTGGAGCTCTTTGAGTCCTTCGGTGAATATGGAAATATATTCCCAAAATAACTAGACAGAAGAATTCTCAGAAATTAGTTTCTGATGTGTGAACTCAACTAACGGAGTTGAAAATTTCCTTGATAGAACTGTTTGGAAACACTCTTTCTGTGTAGACCCTGCAAGTGCATATTGGGATAGATTTCACGATTTCGTTAGAAACGGGAATATCTTCACATAAAATCTACAGAGAAGGATTCTCCGAAACTTCCTAGTGATGTCTGCATTCAAGTCAGAGAGTTGAACATTACATTTCATACAGAAGGTTTGAAACACACTTTTTGTAGTTTCTGGAACTGGACATTTGGAGCGCTTTGAGGCCTATGGTGAAAATGGAAATATCTTCCCCTAAAAACTAGACAGAAGAATTCTCAGAAACTTGTTTGTTATGGGTGTGCTCAACTCACACAGTTGAACTTTTCTTTTGATTGTGCAGTTCTGAAACAGTCTTTTTGTAGAATCTGCAAGTGGATATTTGGATAGCTTTGAGCATTTCGTTGGAAACGGGATTATCTTGTAAAATCTAGACAGAAGCATTCTCAGAAACTTCTTAGTGATGTTTTCATTCAAGTCACGGAGTTGAACATTCCATTTCATACAGCTGGTTTGAAACACTCTTTCTGTGGTATCTGGAAGTGGACATTTGGAAGGATTTGAGACCTTTGGTGAAAAAGGAAATATCTTCCCAAATTAACTAGACAGAAGAATTCTCAGAAACTAGTTTCTGATGTGTGAACTCAACTAACAGAGTTGAAACTTTCCTTTGATAGAACTGTTTTGAGAACTCCTTGTATAGAACCTGCAAGTGCATATTTGGATAGCTTTAACGATTTCATTAGAAACGGGAATATCTTGACATAAAATCTACACAGAAGGATTTTCAGAAATCTCCTACTGATGTTTGTATTCAAGTCACAGAGTTCAACATTACATTTCATACAGAAGGTTTCAAACACACTTTTTGTAGTTTCTGGAACTGGACATTTGGAGCGCTTTGAGGCCTATGGTGAAAATGGAAATATCTTCCCATAAAAGCTAGACAGAAGAATTCTCAGAAACTTGCTTGTGATGTGTGTACTCAACTAACACAGTTGAGTCTTTCTTTTGAGTGAGCAGTTTCGAAACACTCTGTTTGTAGAATCTGCAAGTGGATATTTGAATAGCTTTGAGGATTTCGTTGGAAACTGGATTATCTTATAAAATCTAGACAGAGGCATTCTCAGAAACTACTTATTGATGTTTTCATTCAACGAACAGAGATGAAATTTCCTTTTCATAGAGCTACTTTGAAATACTCTTTCTGTGGTATCAGGAAGTGGACATTCGGAGCGCTTTGAGGCCTATAGTGAAAATGGAATTATCTTCATATAAAAGCTAGACAGAAGAATACTCAGAAACTAGTTTGTGATGTGTGTACACAACTAACAGAGTTGAGCATTTCTTTTGATAAAGCTATTTCAAAACACTCTTTTTGAGGAACCTGCAAGTGGATATTTGGATAGCTTTCACGATTTCCTTGGAAACGGGAATATCTTCATATACAATCTAAACAGAAAGATTCTCTGTAACTTCCTTGTAATGATTGCTTTCAAGTTACAGAGTTGAAAATTCCATTTCATAGAGCAGGTTTGAAACACTCTTTCCGTGGTATCTGGAAGTGGACATTTGGAGCACCTTGAGGCCTAGGGTGAAAATGGAAATATCTTCCCCTAGAAACTACACAGAAGAATTCTCAGAAACTTGTCTGTGATATGTGTACTCAACTAACACAGTTGAACCTTTCTTTTGATAGAGCTGTTCTGAAACACTCTTTTGGTAGAATCTGCAAGTGGATGTTTGCATACCTTTAACGATTTCGTTGCAAACGGGAATATCTTCAGATAAAATCTAGACAGAAACATTCTCAGAAACCTCTTAGTGATGTTTGCATTGAAGTCACACAGCTGAACATTCTATTTCATACAGCAGGTTTGAAACACTCTTTTTGTAGTTTCTGGAACTCGACATTTGCAACGCTTTGAGGCCTATGGTGCAAATGGAAATATCTTCCCCTCAAAACTACACAGAAGAATTCTCAGAAACTAGTTTGTGATGTGTGTACTCAACTCACAGAGTTCAACTTTTCTTTTGATTGTGCAGTTCTGAAACACTCATTTTGTAGAATCTGCAAGTGGATATTTGGATAGCTTTCAGCATCTCGTTGGAAACGGGATTATCTTGTAAAATCTAGACAGAAGCATTCTCAGAAACTTCTTAATGATGTTTTCATTCAAGTCACAGAGTTGGACATTCCATTTCATAGAGCTTGTTTGAAACATTCTTTCTGTGGTATCAGGAAGTGGACATTCGGAGCGCTTTGAGGCCTATGGTGAAAATGGAAATATCTTCCCATAAAAGCTAGACAGAAGAATACTCAGAAACTAGTTTGTGATGTGTGTGCACAACTAACAGAGTTGAGCATTTCTTTTGATAATGCTATTTCGAAACACTCTTTTTGAAGGACCTGCAAGTGGATATTTGGATAGCTTTCATGATTTCCTTGGAAACGGGAATATCTTCATATAAAATCTAAACAGAAAGATTCTCAGTAAGTTCCTTGTAAGGATTGCTTTCAAGTTACAGAGTTGAACATTCCATTTGATAGAGCAGGTTTGAAACACTCTTTCTGTGGTATCTGGAAGTGGATATTTGGAGCGCTTTGAGACCTTCGGTGAAAATGGAAATATCTTCCCAAATTAACTAGACAGAAGAATTCTCAGAAACTACTTTCTGATGTGTGAACTCAACTAACAGAGTTGAACCTTTCTTTTGATAGAACTGTTTTGAAACACTCTTTCTGTAGAACCTGCAAGTGCATATTTGGATAGCTTTAAAGATTTCGTTGGAAACGGGAATATCTTCACATAAAATCTACACAGAAGGATTCTCAGACACTTCCTACTGCTGTTTGCATTCAAGTCACAGAGTTGAACATTACATTTCATACAGAAGGTTTGAAACACCCTTTTTGTAGTTTCTGGAACTAGACATTTGGAGCGCTTTGAGGCCTATGGTGAAAATGGAAATATCTTCCCATAAAAACTAGACAGAAGAATACTCAGAAACTAGTTTGTGATGTGTGTACTCAACTAACACAGTTGAACCTTTCTTTTGATAGAGCTGATCTGAAACATTCTTTTTGTAGAATCTGCAAGTCGATATTTGGATACCTTTACCGATTTCCTTGGAAAAGGGAATATCTTCAGATAAAATCTAGACAGAAACATTCTCAGAAACCTCTTAGTGATGTTTGTATTGAAGTCACAGAGCTGAACATTCCATTTCATACAGCAGGTTTGAAACACTCTTTTTGTAGTTTCTGGATCTGGACATTTGCAGCGCTTTGAGGCCTATGGTGCAAATGGAAATATCTTCCCCTCAAAACTACACAGAAGAATTCTCAGAAACTAGTTTGTGATGTGTCTACTCAACTAACACAGTTGAACTTTTCTTTTGATTGTGCAGCTGTGAAACTCTCTTTTTGTCGAATCTGCAAGTGGATATTTGGATAGCTTTGAGCATTTCGTTGGAAACGGGATTATCTTGTAAAATCTAGACAGAAGCATTCTCAGAAACTTCTTAGTGATGTTTTCATTCAAGTCACAGAGTTGAACATTCCATTTCATAGAGCTGGTTTGAAACACTCTTTCTGTGGTATCTGGAAGTGGACATTTGGAGCGCTTTGAGACCTTCGGTGAAAATGGAAATATCTTCCAAATTAACTAGACAGAAGAATTCTCAGAAAGTACTTTCGGATGTGTGAACTCAACTAACAGAGTTGAACCTTTCTTTTGATAGAACTGTTTTGAAACACTCTTTCTGTAGAACCTGCAAGTGCATATTTGGATAGCTTTAACGATTTCGTTAGAAACTGGAATATCTTCACATGAAATCTACACAGAAGAATTGTCAGACACTTCCTACTGCTGTTTCCATTCAGGTCACAGAGTTGAACATTACATTTCATACAGAAGGTTTGAAACACACTTTTTGTAGTTTCTGGAACTGGACATTTGGAGCGCTTTGAGGCCTATGGTGAAAATGGAAATATCTTCCCATAAAAACTAGACAGAAGAATACTCAGAAACTAGTTTGTGATGTGTGTACTCAACTAACAGAGGTTGATCCTTTCTTTTGATAGAGCTGTTTTGAAACACTCTTTTTGAAGAACCTGCAAGTGGATATTTGGATAGCTTTCAGGATTTCCTTGGAAACGGGAATATCTTCATATAAAATCTACACAAAAAGATTCTCAGTAACTTCCTTGTAATGATTGCTTTCAAGTTACAGAGTTGAACATTCCATTTGATAGAGCAGGTTTGAAACACTCTTTCTGTGGTATCTGGAAGTGGACATTTGGAGCACTTTGAGGCCTACGGTGAAAATGGAAATACCTTCCCCTAAAAACTACACAGAAGAATTCTAAGAAACTTGTTTGTGATGTGTGTACTCACCTGACACAGTTGAAGCTTTCTATTGATAAAGCTGTTCTGAAACACTCTTTTTCTAGAATCTGCAAGTGGATATTTGGAAACCTTTACCGATTTCGTTGGAACGGGGAATATCTTCAGGTAAAATCTAGACAGAAACATTCTCAGAAACCTCTTAGTGATGTTTGCATTGAAGTCACACAGCTGAACATTCCATTTCATACAGCAGGTTTGAAACACTGTTCTTGTAGTTTCTGGAACTGGACATTTGCACCGCTTTGAGGCCTATGGTGCAAATGGAAATGTCATCCCCTCAAAACTACACAGAAGAATTCTCAGAAACTAGTTTGTGATGTGTGTACTCAATTACCACAGTTGAACTTTTCTTTTGATTGTGCAGTTGTGAAACACTCTTTTTGTAGAATCTGCAAGTGGATATTTGGATAGCTTTGAGCATTTTGTTGGAAACGGGATTATCTTGTAAAATCTGCATAGAAGCATTCTCAGAAACTTCTTAGTGACGTTTTCATTCAAGTCACGGAGTTGAACATACCATTTCATAGAGCTGGTTTGAAAGACTCTTTCTGTGGTATCTGAGAGTGGACATATTGAGCACTTTGAGGCCTACGGTGAAAATGGAAATATCTTCCCCTAAAAACTACACAGAAGAATTCTCAGAAACTTGTTTGTGATGTGTGTACTCAACTAACACAGATGAAGCTTTCTTTTGATAGAGCTGTTCTGAAACACTCTTTTTGTAGAATCTGCAAGTGGATATTTGGATAGCTTTCAGCATCTCGTTGGAAACGGGATTATCTTGTAAAATCTAGACAGAAGCATTCTCAGAAACTTCTGAATGATGTTTTCATTCAAGTCACAGAGTTGGATATTCCATTTCATAGAGCTGGTTTGAAACACTCTTTCTGTGGTATCAGGAAGTGGACATTCGGAGCGCTTTGAGGCCTATGGTGAAAATGGAAGTATCTTCCCATAAAAGCTAGACAGAAGAATACTCAGAAACTAGTTTGTGATGTGTGTGCACAACTAACAGAGTTGAGCATTTCTTTTGATAAAGCTATTTTGAAACACTCTTTTTGAAGGACCTGCAAGTGGATATTTGGATAGCTTTCATGATTTCCTTGGAAACGGGAATATCTTCATATAAAATCTAAACAGAAAGATTCTCAGTAAGTTCCTTGTAACGATTGCTTTCAAGTTACAGAGTTGAACGTTCCATTTGATAGAGCAGGTTTGAAACACTCTTTCTGTGGTATCTGGAAGTGGACATTTGGAGCGCTTTGAGACCTTC
>NC_000023.11:10000-44821 GCF_000001405.40 Homo sapiens
CTAACCCTAACCCTAACCCTAACCCTAACCCTAACCCTCTGAAAGTGGACCTATCAGCAGGATGTGGGTGGGAGCAGATTAGAGAATAAAAGCAGACTGCCTGAGCCAGCAGTGGCAACCCAATGGGGTCCCTTTCCATACTGTGGAAGCTTCGTTCTTTCACTCTTTGCAATAAATCTTGCTATTGCTCACTCTTTGGGTCCACACTGCCTTTATGAGCTGTGACACTCACCGCAAAGGTCTGCAGCTTCACTCCTGAGCCAGTGAGACCACAACCCCACCAGAAAGAAGAAACTCAGAACACATCTGAACATCAGAAGAAACAAACTCCGGACGCGCCACCTTTAAGAACTGTAACACTCACCGCGAGGTTCCGCGTCTTCATTCTTGAAGTCAGTGAGACCAAGAACCCACCAATTCCAGACACACTAGGACCCTGAGACAACCCCTAGAAGAGCACCTGGTTGATAACCCAGTTCCCATCTGGGATTTAGGGGACCTGGACAGCCCGGAAAATGAGCTCCTCATCTCTAACCCAGTTCCCCTGTGGGGATTTAGGGGACCAGGGACAGCCCGTTGCATGAGCCCCTGGACTCTAACCCAGTTCCCTTCTGGAATTTAGGGGCCCTGGGACAGCCCTGTACATGAGCTCCTGGTCTGTAACACAGTTCCCCTGTGGGGATTTAGGGACTTGGGCCTTCTGTCTTTGGGATCTACTCTCTATGGGCCACACAGATATGTCTTCCAACTTCCCTACACAGGGGGGACTTCAAAGAGTGCCTTGAGCTGATCTGGTGATTGCTTTTTTGTACTGTTATTTATCTTATTCTTTTCATTGTGAGGTACTGATGCAAACACTTTGTACGAAAAGGTCTTTCTCATCTCGGGAGTCCCCGTCTATTTGTCCCGGTCCCTGTTAACCCAGTCCCCGACAGGAGCCCCTTCTGCACCTTGAGCTCTCACCACTCACCGTCCATCCAGCCCCAGCTCTGCCTGCAACCCACCCATCCCTGGGACTCGGGCCTCCCCTCTCTAGTGGTCTGGTCATCAGGCCAGGGGCACGTGGAAGAAGCTATCGTGGCAAAGGGAGCAGTCATATCCCCAAAATCTGTGGTTGGTTTACCACCACCATGGAAACCCCAGGGTGGGACTCTAGTTTCAGGTTGGAGCTGAGCCCTGTCGGGAATGAGCTTTCCCCAGCTATGGCTTCTTGGGGCCCCTGTGCCCTGAGCTGTGTCTCCCAGCATCGGGTCCCCACCATGCATATGGCCCACTCAGGCACAGTGCCGCGATGGCTGCATGCGTGAGGGGGGCCTGGGCCCAGGGCTGGGAGTCCTTTGTGTCTCATGGCCATGATTGTCCTTCCGAGTATGATATGGTGGCCAATTTCTTTTATTCTGTCGTTCAGAGTGAGTAAATGATGTAGAGTTCATGCAGAAAAAAATACAACAAAAACCAAGGGAACATAGAATTGGAAAACGCGTCACAGCAATGAGTTAAATAGGTAACAAATTTCATCATTTGAAGAAAGACTTAGAGTGCCAAAAGTGCCTCTTAAGTCTCCTTTAAAAAGTAGCAAAATTCATCCCTGAAGAAGCATCTTGGCCTTTTTCATGTACTCAGAGTGCTGGTGAAGAACAAAGATTGCTGAAACATTATGTACCTAACAGCGTTACAGGGTGTAGATAACACACTGGAAAACCTGGTCGTTACAGTGGACATATTCCAGGAAGTCCTTGCCTGAGGTTTTCCAAGTTATGGAATTGCTTGAGATTGGAAGAGGCGATGGAGGGTACAACTGTAATGCCCAACCTCATTTTTGCTAACCCTGTTTTTAGACTCTCCCTTTCCTTCAATCACCTAGCCTTCTTTCCACCTGAAAGGACTCTCCCTTAACTGAGAGAACCGGACAGACTCCATCTTGGCTCTTTCACTGGCAGCCCCTTCCTCAAAGACTTAACTCGTGCAAGCTGACTCCCAGGACATCCGAGAATGCAATTAACTGACAACCTACTGTGGCGAGCTACATCCGCAGTCCCCAGGAATTCGTCCGATTGATAACGCCCAATTACCCGCGTCTATCACCTTGTAATAGTCTTAAAGCACCTGCACCTGGAACTGTTTACTTTCCTGTAACCATTTATCCTTTTAACATTTTGCCTGATTTACTTATGTAAAATTCTTTTAACTAGACCGCCACTCCCCTTTCTAAACAAAAGTATAAAAGAAAATCTAGCCCCTTCTTTGGGACTGAGACAATTTTGAGGTTAACGCAGGGTGCCTGTAATCCTAAGGGAGGAGACCGCCACTTCTGCTGCCCTTCCCTTCCCCACACCCCCTTCTCTAGTTTATGAAACAGGGAAAAAGGGAGAAAGCAAAAAGATAAAAAAAACAGAAGTAAGATAAATAGCTAGACGACCTTGGCAGCACCACCCGGCACTGGTGGTTAAAATAATAATAATAATAATATTAACCCCTGACCTAAACTACTTGTGTTATCTGTAAATTCCAGACACTGTATGAGGAAGCCCTGCAAAACTTTCTGTTCTGTTATCTGATGCGTGTAGCCCCCAGTCACGTTCCGATGCTTGCTCGATCTATCACGACCCTTTCAAGTGAACCCCTTAGAGTCGTAAACCCTTAAAAGGGCCAGGAATTTCGTTTTCGGGGAGCTCGGCTCTTCAGGCCCAAGTAAACCTGCCGTATCTCACCTGAGACCAACCCCCAACTACAAAACTCAACCTGGAATTTTCCCAGGACCAAACCCATCTATATTCTGTAACCCGAAACCTCAAAGCCTAACCCTAACCCTAACCCCTACAGTTGAGGTCCCCCCGCCCCTGTGGTTCCAGCTCAAGACAACCTGCCCCTCCGTGGGTTTGCAGGCCCTCTGGTGGGGGTGGGAGCTGGGGGCCACATACAGCTCTCTGAGCTTAAGCCATTTTCTTCCTTCATTCCTTCCTTCCTCCCTCCCTTCCCTTCCTTCCTCCCTCCCTCCCTCCTTCCCTCCCTCCCTTTTTTTTTTCAGGGTCTTGCTCTGTCACCCAGGCTGGAGTGCAGTGGCATGATCACAGCTGACTGCAGCCTCGGACTCCCAGGCTCAAGTTATCTTCCCTCCTCAGCCTCCAGAGTAGGTGGGACTACAGGAGTGTGCCATCGCACCCAGCGAATTTCTTAATTTTTATTTTGTAGAGATGAGGCCTCTCGATATTGTCCAGGCTTGGAAGTAGTTCTTGAAATTCAAGAGGATCTTGAAGTTCTGACCTCCTGTCAATATCCCTTCCCCTCACCTTGACCCTCCCATTCTGCCCCACCTGTCAGGATCACAAGGACCCCCAGATCAGCAGATGGGAACCGGACCAAAAAGAGAAATAGTGCTGTCCCGCCCATAAGTACCACCCCCAGACTCCCTGCTCCACCCTCTGGACCACAGGGAGGCCCCATGCTCCATCCCTGAAAACCACCCCCAGACCCCCTGCTCCTCCCCACGGGACCGCCCCCAGATCCACTGTTCCTGTCCTCCGGACCACACCGGACAGCTCCTTCCCTCGGCGCCATCCCCAGACCCCAGCTCCTCCCCTCAGGATCATCCCCAGACCCCCGCTCCTCCCATCAGGACCGCCCCCAGAACCCCCTGCTCCTCCCCACAGGACCACCCCCAGACCCCCGCTCCTCCCCTAAGGACCACCCACAGACCCCCACGCTTCCCCTCGGGACCACCCCCAGACCCCCGCTCCTCCCCTCAGGACCACCCCCAGATCCACTGTTCCTGTCCTCCGGACCACACCAGACAGCTCCTTCCCTCGGCGCCATCCCCAGACCCCCACGCTTCCCCTCGGGACCACCCCCAGACCCCCGCTCCTGCCCTCGGGACCACGCCCAGACCCCCTGCTCCTCCCCACGAAACCACGCCCAGTAACCCCCCTCTTCTCCCCTCAGGACCACCCCCAGACCCCCGCTCCTCCCCTGGGAACCACCCCCAGACCCCCTGCTCCTCCCCACGAAACCACCCCCAGACTCCCTGCTCCTGTCCTCCGGACCACGCGACTGCTCCTTCCCTCAGCGCCACCCCCAGACTGCCGCTCCTCCTGTCGGGACCCCCTGAGGCTTTCTCCACCCGGAGTGCGGGGTAGGGAGCAGACGGAGAGTGACGGAGGGTGACGGAGAGTGACGAAAGTAGACGATGTCTGACGGAGAAGAGCCGAGCGGAGCTGAAGGGCGGCGGAGAGTGACGGAAAGTGGCGAGAATTGACGGAAAGTGACGGGGACTGACGGACAGTGACGAAGAGTCACGAAATTTATCAGAGGGCGACAAAGAGGAAAGCGAAATGGTGAGATGCAGCCGGCCGAGCCTAATCGGAGATGACGGAAAGTGACGGAGAGGAACGAGGAGTAAAGAGGGGTGACGAAAAGAGCCGAAGCTGGTGGAGGCGAAGAACTGAGTGAGGGAAGATAGCCGAGATTAGCGGGTGGGCTGCAGCCGGGGCAGTCGCCCGAATGGGCGGGACCCCACGGAGTTAGCGAGAGGATGCGAACAGCGGCCAGCCGGGCAGCACGCGAGCGAGGGAGGGCGTGGAGGGCCGTGGGTCCGCCTGCACTGAGGCAGGCATGCGTGGCACCGAGGTGACCCGGGTGGGAGGTGCACCGCCGCCCCCTGGCAGTCTCTCCGCGGAGCCCAAGCCCGTCTTCTCCGCCCCTTTGCAGACCTCGGCGCCCAGCCTGGCCCCTGACGCCCACCCGCGGCCCCACCCAGCGCCCGGGCCCACGAGGCCGAGGAGCGGCGGAGACTAACGGCCCCTGGACCCCAGGCAGCACATGGCCCAGAGCATCCCAGCCCAGTGGAGGGCGGCACATGGCGGGAGGGCGGGAGTCCGTGTCCACTCATGGCCGGGGAGGGGAGGGCAAGTTCTGGTGGCTGGGGAGGCCTAGAGCATCACAGCCCAGTGGAGGGCTGCACATGGCAGGGGAGGGGAGAGCAAGAGTGTGCGGGCGAGGGAGGAGAGGGCAAGACTGCGTGTCCGCTCCAGTCTCTCTTCCTCATCTTATAAAGCCACGAGTCCCATGACTGGGGACCCAACCTAATAACATTATCTAATCCTAATTGCCTCCCAAAGGCCATATCTCCAATCAGGACATGAATTCGGGGATTAAATTGCCAACACATGGCTGGGCGCGATGGCTTGTGCTTTTTTTTTTTTTTTTTTTGAGACGGAGTCTCGCTCTGTCGCCCAGGCTGGAGTGCAGTGGCGCTATCTCGGCTCACTGCAAGCTCTGCCTCCCGGGTTCACGCCATTCTCCTGCCTCAGCCTCCTGAGTAGCTGGGACTACAGGCGCCCGCCACCACGCCCAGGTAATTTTTTTTTTTTTTTTTTTGTATTTCTTTGTAGAGACGGGGTTTCACCATGTTAGCCAGGATGGTCTCGATCTCCTGACCTCGTGATCCACCCATCTCGGTCTCCCAAAGTGCTAGGATTGCAGGCCTGAGCCACCGCACCCAGCTGCCTTGTGCTTTTAATCCCAGCACTTTCAGAGGCCAAGGCAGGCGATCACCTGAGGTCAGGAGTTCAAGACCAGCCTGGCCAACATGGTGAAACCCCATCTCTAATACAAATACAAAAAAAAAACAAAAAACGTTAGCCAGGAATGAGGCCCGGTGCTTGTAATCCTAAGGAAGGAGACCACCACTCCTCCTGCTGCCCTTCCCTTCCCCACACCGCTTCCTTAGTTTATAAAACAGGGAAAAAGGGAGAAAGCAAAAAGCTTAAAAAAAAAAAAAAAAAAACAGAAGTAAGATAAATAGCTAGATGATCTTGGCAGCACCACCCGACCCTGGTGGTTAAAATAATAATAATAATAATATTAACCCCTGACCTAAACTACTTGTGTTATCTGTAAATTCCAGACACTGTATGAGGAAGCCCTGCAAAACTTTCTGTTCTGTTATCTGATGCGTGTAGCCCCCAGTCACGTTCCCCATGCTTCCTCGATCTATCACAACCCTTTCACGTAAACCCCTTAGAGTTGTAAACCCTTAAAAGGGCCAGGAATTTCGTTTTCGGGGAGCTTGGCTCTTCAGGCGCAAGTGTGCCGATGCTCCTGGCAGAGTAAAGCCCTTCCTTCTTTAACCCAGTGTCTGAGGAATTTTGTCTGCGGCTTGTCCTGCCACAATGCCAGCTACCAGGAGGCTGAGGTGTGAGAATCGCTCGAACCTGGGAGGCAGAGGTTGCAGCGAGCCGAGATCCCACGATTGCACTCCAGCCTGGGTGATAGATGACAGAGCAAGACACCATGTCAAAAAGAAAAGAAAAAAAATTGCCAACACATGAAATCTGGAGAACACATTCAAGCAATAGCACCATATAAATCTGTACATACCTTGCAAACACTGTAAACCTGCCGCATCTCACCTGAGACCAACCCCCAACCGCAAAACCCAGACCTGGAATTTTCCCAGGACCAAACCCATCTATATTCTGTAACCCGAAATCTCAAAGCCTAACCCTAACCCTAACCCCGACAGTTCAGGTCCCCCCGTCCCCGTAGCTCCAGCTCAAGACAACCTGCCCCTCCGTGGGTTTGCAGGCCCTTTGGTGGGGGTGGGAGCTGGGGGCCACACACAGCTCTCTGAGCTTAAGCCATTTCCTTCCTTCCTTCATTCCTTCCTTCCTCCCTCCCTCCCTCCTTCCCTCCCTCCCTTTTTTTTTTCAGGGTCTTGCTCTGTCACCCAGGCTGGAGTGCAGTGGCATGATCACAGCTGACTGCAGCCTCGGACTCCCAAGCTCAAGCGATCTTCCCGCCTCAGCCTCCAGAGTAGGTGGGACTACAGGAGTGTGCCATCGCACGTGGCGAATTTCTTAATTTTTATTTTGTAGAGATGAGGCCTCCCGATATTGTCCAGGCTTGGAAGTAGTTCTTGAAATTCAAGAGGATCTGGAAGTTCTGGTCTCCTGTCAATATCCCTTTCTAAGATGAAATGTAGAATCCTCTAATCACCCCAGGATACCTTTTCCAGCTATATTACCCTTTCCTTTCAGCCGACTAGAGTGGAAGCTCAGCAAAGAACGGATCTATGCCTGCACACAGGCAGCTTTGAACTCACTGAGATCTATAGAAGAATTTTTTAAAATTTGCCAGAATGAAAAAGAAGTATCCTCCAGTGAGCCTCAAGGACAGCCAGGGAAGGCAGCTACTGGGACCTGCCACTGGCCAGGATTGAGAGAGTCTGAGGTGTCCATTCTCCTATGGATGGGTCACACATCAGAACTGAACCACAAACCCTTTCCTGCTCCCTTGGGACCAGGCTGCCACTCCTTCCTTCCCCTCACCTTGACCCTCCCATTCGGCCCCACCTGTCAGGATCACAAGGACCCCCAGATCAGCAGATGGGAACCGGACCAAAAAGAGAAATAGCGCTGTCCCGCCCAAAAGTACCAACCCCAGACCCCCTGCTCCACCCTCCGAACCACAGGGAGACCCCATGCTCCACCCCTGAAAACCACATGCAGACCCCCGCTCCTCCTCTTAGGGCCATCCCCAGACCCCCCCTCCTACCCACGGGACCACACCCAGAACCCCCAGCTCCTCCCCTCGGGACCACCCCAGACCCCCGCTCCTCCCCTCGGGACCACCCCCAGACCCCCGCTCCTCCCCTCGGGACCACCCCAGACCCCCGCTCCTCCCCTCGGGACCACCCCAGACCCCCTGCTCCTCCTCTTAGGACCATCCCCAGACCCCCCCTCCTACCCACGGGACCACACCCAGAACCCCCAGCTCCTCCCCTCGGGACCACCCCAGACCCCCGCTCCTCCCCTCGGGACCACCCCAGACCCCCGCTCCTCCCCTCGGGACCACCCCAGACCCCCGCTCCTCCCCTCGGGACCACCCCCAGACCCCCTGCTCCTCCTCTTAGGACCATCCCCAGACCCCCCCTCCTACCCACGGGACCACACCCAGAACCCCCAGCTCCTCCCCTCGGGACCACCCCCAGACCCCCTGCTCCTCCTCTTAGGACCACCCCAGACCCCCGCTCCTCCCCTCGGGACCACCCCAGACCCCCGCTCCTCCCCTCGGGACCACCCCAGACCCCCGCTCCTCCCCTCGGGACCACCCCCGACCCCCTGCTCCTCCTCTTAGGACCATCCCCAGACCCCCCCTCCTACCCACGGGACCACACCCAGAACCCCCAGCTCCTCCCCTCGGGACCACCCCAGACCCCCGCTCCTCCCCTCGGGACCACCCCAGACCCCCGCTCCTCCCCTCGGGACCACCCCAGACCCCCGCTCCTCCCCTCGGGACCACCCCCAGACCCCCTGCTCCTCCTCTTAGGACCATCCCCAGACCCCCCCTCCTACCCACGGGACCACACCCAGAACCCCCAGCTCCTCCCCTCGGGACCACCCCAGACCCCCGCTCCTCCCCTCGGGACCACCCCAGACCCCCGCTCCTCCCCTCGGGACCACCCCAGACCCCCGCTCCTCCCCTCGGGACCACCCCCAGAACCCCCGCTCCTCCCCTCGGGACCACCCCAGACCCCCGCTCCTCCCCTCGGGACCACCCCAGACCCCCGCTCCTCCCCTCGGGACCACCCCCAGACCCCCTGCTCCTCCTCTTAGGACCATCCCCAGACCCCCCCTCCTACCCACGGGACCACCCCCAGACCCCCCGCTCCTCCCCTCGGGACCACCTCAGACCCCCGCTCCTCCCCTCGGGACCACCCCAGACCCCCGCTCCTCCCCTCGGGACCACCCCAGACCCCCTGCTCCCATTTTCCAGACCACACCAGACGGCTTCTTCCCTCGGCACCACCCCCAGACTGCCGCTCCTCCTATCGGGACCTCCTCGGGGCCATCTCCAGACCCTCCCCCCGCTCCACCCCTCGGGTCCCTCTCGGGACCACCCTCAGACCCCCGCTCCTTCCCTCGGGATCACCTCGAGACCTCCCGCTCACCACCATCATTCAGGCCGGGTAGTGGGGAGAGGCCTCTCAGGAGGGACCAGGCCACCCTCCCAGGAGTGAAGGGAGGAGGACAGAGTCACGAGCAGACCAGAAATAACCAGGGACTGACAGACAGCAGGATCGGAGAGGGACGGAAAAGGGCTAAGGGCAGGAAAAGTCCCTGAGGCTTTCTCCACCCGGAGTGCGGGGTAGGGAGCAGACGGAGAGTGACGAAGGGTGACGGAGAGTGACGAAAGTAGACGATGTCTGACGGAGAAGAGCCGAGCGGAGCTGAAGGGCGGCGGAGAGCGACGGAAAGTGGCGAGAATTGACGGAAAGTGACGGGGACTGACGGACAGTGACGAAGAGTCACGAAATTTATCAGAGGGCGACAAAGAGGAAAGCGAAATGGTGAGATGCAGCCGGCCGAGCCTATTCGGAGATGACGGAAAGTGACGGAGAGGAACGGGGAGTAAAGAGGGGTGACGAAAAGAGCCGAAGCTGGTGGAGGCGAAGAACTGAGTGAGGGAAGATAGCCGAGATTAGCGGGTGGGCTGCAGCCGGGGCAGTCGCCCGAATGGGCGGGACCCCACGGAGTTAGCGAGAGGATGCGAACAGCGGCCAGCCGGGCAGCACGCGAGCGAGGGAGGGCGTGGAGGGCCGTGGGTCCGCCTGCACTGAGGCAGGCATGGGTGGCACCGAGGTGACCCGGGTGGGAGGTGCACCGCCGCCCACTCGCAGGTTCTGCGCGGAGCCCAAGCCCGTCTTCTCCGCCCCTTTGCAGACCTCGGCGCCCAGCCTGGCCCCTGACGCCCACCCGCGGCCCCACCCAGCGCCCGGGCCCACGAGGCCGAGGAGCGGCGGAGGCTCGCGGCCCCTGGACCGCAGACCGCGTTCCCGGAGCCCGGCCGAGCCCCGAGTGGGGCCCTCGCGCGGACTGAGAGGGCGGCGGAGGGGCCACGGGGTCCTGCCCAGCCCGCATCGCGCATGCTGCTCGGGACCGGCGGCTGCCTTGGGCCAACCCTGTTCCCGCAGCGGCCCAGCCCCGGGCGGGAGCCGACCTGGGGGACGCGGGACCCCGCGCGAGCTGCTCGGCCTGTAGGGGGCTGCGCGGCGGGGCGGGGCGGGGCCGGCCGCGGCGCCCTCGCTCCTCGCCCTCCCTCTCTCCCTCCCTCTCTCCCTAAGACACTTTTTCTTCTTTGTGGCACAATATACAAAACACGGAGTTTGCCATACTGGCCGTTTTCAGGGCGCAGGTCGGTGGGACTGAGCACATCGCGTGGTGCGCTCGGCGCCACCGTCTGTCTGCAGAACGTTTGCACCTTTCCAAGCTGAACAGCTCTCCTTTCCGCCTCCCCCAGCCCGTGACAACCTCCCCTCTACGTTTCGTCTCTCAGTTTGACCTACTAGGTACTGAGGTCCCCTGGGTACTGAGATCTCCTCGGTACTGAAGTCTCCTCGGTGCTGAGGTCGCCTCGGTGCTGAGACCTCCTAGGTATTGAGGTCGCCTCGGTACTGAGGTTGCCTCGGTGCTGAGGTCGCCACGGTGCTGAGACCTCCTAGATACTGAGGTCTCCTAGGCACGGAGATCTCCTATGTACAGAGACCTCGTCGGTACTGAGGTCGCCTAGGTACTGAGACCTTCTAGGTCCTGAGGTCTAGGTACTGAGGCCTTCTCCTGTCGGAGGTGGGAAACTACTCAGTGGTAAAGCAGAACCAAGACCTTCCTCTGAGGGTGGTGGGCTGAGCTGTCTCTTCCTTTCTAGGGGCCTTGTATTCACGCCATGAGAGACCCCCCTACTCTTCTGACACGTTCCCATTTTGCTGAAGACACTTGGAGCCAGTGTCATCTTTGTGACTGTACCGTTGCGTGTTCGGGGTGCACTCTGCCGTATTCTCTTTGCAGAGCACCTAAGGAAGCAGGCGTCGTGCCTAAGAACGTGAGTGCTGCAAAAAGGGTGGTTTGTTCCAATCCAACCTTGACCGCTCCTGGCCCTCCCACATGGGTCAAGTTCACTAAACGTCTCTGTGCCTCCATTTCCTCGGCAGAAGAACAGGGACAGTAAATGTACCCGTCTGTATGAGTGTTCAGGGCCGCCATAAGGTACCAAGACTGGAGGGCTTCACTGAAAATTATCTTCCCACAGACCTGGAGGCTGAGGTCCGAGAGCAAGGTGTTGTCAGCAGGGCTGGTTTCTCCTCTCCTCGGCTTGCGGACGCCGTCTGGTGTACGCTCATAGGGTCTTTTCACTGTGCACAAGTATCCCTATCGTCTCTTCTGTGTGTGTCCACACTTCCTCTCATGAGAACAGCAGGTTGCTTTAGGGCCCACCCTGACAGCCTCGTTCTAATACTATGAGGCCAAATACACTCACGTTCTGAGGCAGTGGGGGTTAGGGCTTCAACATCGACATCCGAGACTGGGAGATGATAAATTCCTGTTGACGAACCCACCCGGTTTCTGGTCACTGGTTATGGCAGCCCCCAGGAAACCAGCCCACAGAAACAGCAGTCCCTCCACTTGGTTCTGATCCAGGATGAAGCTGTTGTAGACCGCCAGCGTTTGGGGAATGTGAATGCCTGATACGAAGGAATTCTTTGCGCCATATTGTTGCCTTAATGTAACTGTGAAGTTGCGTCAAAATAAACATTAATGGCCGGGCGCGGTGGCTCACGCCTGTAATCCCAGCACTTTGGGAGGCCAAGGCAGGTGGATCACGAGGTCAGGAGATCAAGACCATCCTGGCCAACACAGTGAAACCCCATCTCTACTAAAAATACAAAAAATTCTCCGGGCGCGGTGGCGGGCGCCTGTAGTCCCAGCTACTCAGGAGGCTGAGGCAGGAGAACAGCGTGAGCCCGGGAGGTGGAGCTTGCAGTGAGCTGAGATTGCGCCACTGCACTCCGGCCTGGGCGACAGAGCGAGACTCCATCTCAAAAAATAAAAATAGAAAATAAACATTAATGAAAATTCTCAGCAAAAGTCATATATATTCTCGCCAAGGCGACACACCAGCTAATTACTGTGTCGACTCCTTTGTTTTGGGCTCGATTTTATGAACTTGGTGCAGTAACACCTGCCGTTTACCTCTGGCCTATCCAAAGCCCAGATAAGCACAGGCAACAAAAGCACAAATAGACAAATGGTCCAACTTCGAGGTTAAACATTTCTGCACAGGAAACAACAGTGAAAAGGCAAGACATGGAATAAGAGGAAATAACTGCAGATTATATGTCTGGTACGTCGGATATTCGTCCAGCACATATAAAGAGCTCCTGCAACTGAACAATTGAAAAACAAGTTAACTGATTGAAAAATGAGCAAACGACCTGAATAGATATTTCTCCAGAAAAGATATACAAGTAGCAAACAAACATGGAAGGATCCTCAACATCAGTAATCATTAGAGAAATACACATCAAAACCACAGTGATAGCACCTCACATCCATGAAATGCTACAGTGAAACAAAAATAGTGTTAACAAGGATGTGTGGAAATTGGAGCCCTCGTGGATTGCCTGTAGGACTAGAAAATGGTGTGGCCACCGTGGAAAACACTATGGAGCCTCCTCAAAAAAGCACTAAATATCAGGCTGGGCACAGTGGCTCACACCTGTCATCCCAGCACTTTGGGAGCCCGAGGCAGGTGGATCACAAAGTCAGGAGTTCGAGACCAGCCTGGCCAACATGGTGAAACTCCGTCTCTACTAAAAATAAAAAATTAGCCGGGCGTGGTTGTGGGTGCCAGGAATCCCAGCTACCCGGGAGGCTGAGGCAGGAGAATTGCTTGAACCCCGGAGGCAGAGGTTGCATTGAGCCGAGATCGCGCCACTGCACTCCAGCCTGGGTGACAAAGGAAGACTCCATCTCGGGGGGGCGGGGTGGGGGGAAGCAAACACAAAATAATTAGCTAAGTGTGGTGACAGATGCCTATAGTCCCAGCTACTCGGGAGGCTAAGGCAGGAGAAGCGCCTGAACCAGGAGGTGGAGGCTGCAGTGAGCCGATTATGCCACCGCACTCCACCCTGGGCGGCACAGTGAAACTCCATCTCCGCAAAAACAAAACCAGAAAAATAACAACTAAAAATCACTTGGGTGTGGTGATGTGCAGCTGCACTACCGGCTACTTGGGAGGCTGAGGGAAGGGGATCACTGAAGCCCAGGAGTTCAAGGCCAGCCTGGGCAACATATAAAACTCTGTCTCTTAAAAAATAAATAAATAACCAGAAATGGAACCACCTATGAACCAGCAATCACATTACTTCTCCGACTAAATCCAAAAAGATTGAAAGCAGAGTCTGGAAGGGATTATTGCACAACCGTGGTCGTTACAGCAGTATTCACAATAGCCAAAAGATGGAAGCAGCCCGGTGCCCATGATCGCATTATGTTATGACACCACCACTTCTCCTGTTGTCCTTCCCACTTTCTCCCCAACCTCCCCTTTTCCCTAGTTTATAAGACAAGAGAAAAGAGAGAAAGCAAAAAGTTGGAAAGAAACAAAAGTAAGATAAATAGCTAGACGACCTTGGTGCCACCACCTGGCCCTGGTGATTAAAATAATAATAGTATTAACCGCTGACCAAAACTACTGGTGCTATCTGTAAATTCCAGACATTGTATGAGAAAGCACTGTAAAACTTTTTGTTCTGGCCGGGCGCGGTGGCTCACGCCTGTAATCCCAGGACTTTGGGAGGCCGAGGTGGGAGGATCATGAGGTCAGGAGATTGAGACCATCCTGGCTAACACGGTGAAACCCCATCTCTACTAAAAATACAAAAAATTAGCTGGGTGCAGGCCGGGCACGGTGGCTCCAGCCTCTAATCCCAGCACTTTGGGAGGCCGAGGCGGGTGGATCACAAGGTCAGGAGATCGAGACCATCCTGGTTAACATGATGAAACCCCGTGTCTACTAAAAATACAAAAAATTAGCCGGGCGCGGTGGCGGGCGCCTGTAGTCCCAGCTACTGGGGAGGCTGAGGCAGGAGAATGGTGTGAACCCGGGAGGCGGAGCTTGCAGTGAGCTGAGATCACGCCACTGCACTCCAGCCTGGGCCACAGAGCGAGATTCCGTCTCAAAAAAAATAAAAAAATAAAAACTTTTTGTTCTCTTAGCTGATGTATGTAGCCCCCACTCACGTTCCTCACACTTACTTGATCTATTATGACTCTTTCACATAGACCCCTTAGAGTTCTTAGCCCTTAAAAGGGCTAGGAATTTCTTTTTCGGGGAGCTCGGCTCTTAAGACACGAGTCTGCCGAATCTCCCGGCCAAATAAAAAAACCTCTTCCTTCTTTAATCTGGTGTCTGAGGAGTTTTGACTGTGACTCATCCTGTTACAGCATGACTGGAAAAAGAAAATGTGGTTCATCCATATAATGAAATATGAATCAGCCCTAAAAAGGAAGGAATGATGAGACAGGCTACCACATGGACTCACCTGTTGTTAACAAGATAAGCCAGACAAAAAAGTGCTGTGTGATCCCACTCCTATGAGGTCTCTGGAAGAGTGGAATTCATAGAGACAGACAGTAGAATGGTGGGTGCCAGGGGCCGGGGGAATGGGGCACCCTGGTTTGATGTGGACACAGTTTCTGTTTTGTAAGATGAAGAAGTTGTAAACATCTGTTATACAACAATGCGGATATGATGAACACTGCTGAAGTGTATCCTTAAAAATACTTTAAAGGGGCCGGGCGCGGTGGCTCATGCCTGTAATCCCAGCACTTTGGGAGGCCGAGGCAGGCGGATCACGAGGTCAGGAGATCGACACCGTCTTGGCCAACACAGTGAAACCCCGTCTCTACTAAAATACAAAAAATTTGCCAGGTGTGGTGGCGGGTGCCTGTGATCCCAGCTACTTGGGAGGCTGAGGCAGGGGAATCACTTGAACCCGGGAGGTAGAGGTTGAAGTGAGCTGAGATTGTGCCACTGCACTCCAGCCTGGGCAACAGAGCAAGCCTCCATCTAAAAAAAAGAAGTAGTTGAAAGGGTAAATTTTATGTTATGTGGCTTTTACCTCCATTAAAAATAAAAATAAAGGCTGAATGTGGTAGCTTACCCCTGTAATCCGAGCACTTTGGGAGGCCAAAGCAGGACGATTACTTGAGCTCAGAAGTGTGAGACCAGCCTGGACAACTTGGTGAGACCCCATCTCTACTAGAAATTTTTTTTTAATTGGCTGAGTGTGATGGTGTGCACCTATAATCCCCAGATACTCAGGAGGCTGAGGCAAGAGGATTGCTTGAGCCTAGGAGCGGGGGGCTGTGGTGAGCCATGATGGTACCATTGCACTCCAGCCTGGGTGACAGAGTGAGACCCTGCCTCAAAAAAAAAAAAAAATTAAATTAAGAAAAATTTAAAAGGCCAGGCTAATGATATATTTCTTTTATTAATAAACGTGGGAACCTTAATTTAACATAATGTCAATAAACATGATTATGGTTCTTCCAAATTTGGGGTCCCTGGTGAGAGAAAAAGAATAAGATAGGGCTGGGTGTGGTGGTGCACGCCTGTAATCCCAGCACTTTGGGAGGCCAAGGCCAGCAGCTCACCTGAGGTTGGGAGTTCGAGACCAGCCTGACCAACATAGAGAATCCCCATCTCTAAAAATACAAAAAATTAGCCAGGCGTGGTGGCGCCCACCTGTAATCCCAGCTACTTGGGAGGCTGAGGCCAGAGAATTGCTTGAACCCGGGAGGCGGAGGTTGCGGTGAGCTGATATCACACCATTGCACTCCAGCCTGGGTAACAAGAGCGAAACTCCGTCTCTAATAATAATAATAATAAATAAAGGGCCTCAGGGTGAAGAATTTGGATACTGCTTGACTGGAGGCCACCTGGGGCCACTTCAGCTCTAGTTTCTGTGGTTTACGGCCACAGTGGTGTCTTCCCTGCAACGTTCTCGTGGGTGCCGTATTGACAAAACATTAAAACGAGATGGGGTCCCTGCGAGACTCCCGAGGGAGGGAGCAGGAAGATCCGTGCGGCACCGCGAAGGTACAGCATGTTCTCCACAACTCTCCCAGGCCACAAAGAAAGATGAGTCAGTGGGCTCTGAATTCTCCAGCACAGACAGGGGACGAGTCAAAGGGCTCCCAATCGGACTTGAAGAGATCACGCAGGAAGTCCTGACGTTCACGGCGAGCAGGGCTCTGTGTAGGCCAACATGCCAGCACTGTGAGGATAATATTTTTTAATCCCCCGTTTCCTTGAGCGGCCCCAGAAAACTTACACACACCCTGTTCTGCAGACTCCTGGGAGTGTAGGTCTCATTAAGGGCAGATAGAGACCAGACTGTGCAACCTTTAGAATCTGCATTGGGCCTAGGTCTCATTGAGGGCAGGTAGAGAGCCGACTGTGCAACCTTTAGAGTCTGCATTGGGCCAAGGTCTCATTGAGGTCAGATAGAGAGCACACTGTGCAACCTTTAGAGACTGCATTGAGCCTGGGTCTCATTGAGGACAGATAGAGAGCAGACTGTGCAACCTTTAGAGTCTGCATTGGGCCTACGTCTCATTGAGGGCAGATAGAGAACAGACGGTGCAACCTTTACAGTCTGCATTGGGCCTAGGTCTCATTGAGGGCAGGTAGAGAGCCGACTGTACAACCTTTAGAGTCTGCATTGGGCCTAGGTCTCATTGAGGGCAGATAGAGAGCAGACGGTGCAACCTTTAGAGTCTGCATTGGGCCTAGGTCTCATTGAGGACAGATAGAGAGCAGACTGTGCAACCTTTAGAGACTGCATTGAGCCTGAGTCTCATTGAGGACAGATAGAGAGCAGACTGTGCAACCATTAGAGTCTGCATTGGGCCTAGGTCTCATTGAGGGCACATAGAGAGCAGACTGTGCAACCTTTAGAGTCTGCATTGGGCCTAGGTCTCATTGAGGACAGATAGAGAGCAGACTGTGCAACCTTTAGAGTCTGCATTGGGTCTAGGGCCCACTGAGGGCAGACAGAGAGCAGACTGTGCAAACTTTAGAGTCAGCATTGGGCCTAGGTCTCATTGAAGACAGATAGAGAGCAGACTGTGCAACCTTTAGAGTCCGAATTGGGCCTCGGTCTCATTGAGGACCGATGGAGAGCAGACTGTGCAACCTTTAGAGTCTGCATTGGGCCTGGGTCTCACTGAGGACAAATAGAGAGCAGACTGTGCAACCTTTAGGGACTGCATTGGACCTAGGTCTCATTGAGGACAGATAGAGAGCAGACTAGGCAACCTTTAGAGTCGGCACTGGGCCTAGGTCTCATTGAGGACACATATAGAGCAGACTGTGCAACCTTTACAGTCTGCATTGGGCCTGGGTCTCATTGAGGACAGATAGAGACCAGACTGTGCAACCTTTAGAGTCTGCATTGGGCCTAGGTCTCATTGAGGGCAGATAGAGAGCAGACTGTGCAACCTTTAGAGTCTGCACTGGGCCTAGGTCTCATTGAGGACAGATAGAGAGCAGACTGTGCAACCTTTAGAGTCTGCATTGGGCCTAGGTCTCATTGAGAGCAGATAGAGAGCATACTGTGCAACCTTTAGAGTCGGCATTGGGCCTAGGTCTCATTGAGGACAGATAGAGACCAGACTGTGCAACCTTTAGAGTCTGCATTGGGCCTAGGTCTCATTGAGGACAGATAGAGAGCAGACTAGGCAACCATTAGAGTCGGCACTGGTCCTAGGTCTCATTGAGGACAGATATAGAGCAGACTGTGCAACCTTTAGAGTCTGCATTGTGCCTGGGTCTCATTGAGGACAGATAGAGAGCAGACTGTGCAACCTTTAGAGTCTGCACTGGGCCTAGGTCTCATTGAGGACAGATAGAGAGCAGACTGTGCAACCTCTAGAGTCTGCATTGGGCCTAGGTCTCATTGAGGGCATTTAGAGAGCAGACTGCGCAACCTTTAGAGTCTGCATTGGGCCTAGGTCTCATTGAGAGCAGATAGAGAGCACACTGTGCAACCACTAGAGTCGGCATTGGGCCTAGGTCTCATTGAGGACAGATAGAGACCAGACTGTGCAAACTTTAGAGTCTGCATTGGGCCTAGGTCTCATTGAGGACAGATAGAGGGCAGACTGTGCAACCTTTAGAGTCTGCATTGGGCCTAGGTCTCATTGTGGACCGATACAGAGCAGACTGTGCAACCTTTAGAGTCTGCACTGGGCCTAGGTCTCATTGAGGGCAGATAGAGAGCACACTGTGTAACCTTTAGAGTCTGCATAGGGCCTCGGTCTCATTGAGGACCGATAGAGAGCAGACTGTGCAATCTTTAGAGTCTGCATTGGGCCTGGGTCTCATTGAAGACAGATAGAGACCAGACTGTGCAACCTTTAGAGTTTGCATTGGACCTAGGTCTCATTGAGGGCAGATAGAGAGCAAACTGTGCAACCTTTAGAGTCTGCATTGGGCCTAGGTCTCATTGAGGACAGATAGAGAGCAGACTGTGCAACCTTTAGAGTCTGCACTGGGCCTAGGTCTCTTTGAGGACAGACAGAGAGCAGACTGTGCAAACTTTAGAGTCTGCACTGGGCCTAGGTGTCATTGAGGACAGAAAGAGACCAGACTGTGCAACCTTTAGAGTCTGCATTGGGCCTAGGTCTCCTTGAGGTCAGATAGACAGCAGACTGTGCAACCTTTAGAGTCTGCATTGGGCCTAGGTCTAATTGCGGACAGATAGAGAGCAGACTATGCAACGTTTAGAGTCTGCATTGGGCCTGGGTCTCATTCAGGACAGATAGAGAGCAGACTGTGCAACCTTTAGAGTCTCTATTGGGCCTAGGTCTCATTGAGGACAGATAGAGAGCGGACTGTGCAACCTTTAGAGTCTGCATTGGGCCTAGGTCTCATTGAGGGCAGATAGAGAGCAGGCTCGGCAACCCTTAGAGTCTGCATTGGGCCTAGATCTTATTGAGGACAGATAGAGAGCATACTATGCAACCTTTAGAGTCTGCATTGGGCCTAGGTCTCATTGAGGACACATAGAGAGCAGACTGTGCAACCTTTAGAGTCTGCATTGGGCCTATGTCTCATTGAGGACAGTTAGAGAGCAGACTGTGCAAGCTTTAGAGTCTGCATTTGGCCTAGGTCTCATTGAGGACAGAAACAGACCAGAGTGTGCAACCTTTAGAGTCAGCATTGGGCCTAGGTCTCATTGAGGACAGATAGAGAGCAGACTGTAGAAACTTTATAGTCTGCATTGGGCCTAGGTCTCATTGAGGTCAGATAGAGAGCAGACTGTGCAAGCTTTAGAGTCTGCACTTGGCCTAGGTCTCATTGAGGACAGATAGAGAGCAGACTGTGCAAACTCTAGAGTCTGCATTGGGCCTAGGTCTCATTGAGGGCAGATAGAGACCAGACTATGCAACGTTTAGAGTCTGCATTGGGCCTAGGTCTCATTGAGGGCAGTTAGAGAGCAGACTGTGCAACCTTTAGAGTCTGCATTGGGCCTAGGTCTCATTGAGAGCAGATAGAGAGCACACTGTGCCAACTTTAGAGTCGGCATTGGGCCTAGGTCTCATTGAGGACAGATAGAGACCGGACTGTGCAACCTTTAGAGTCTGCATTGGGCCTACGTCTCATTGAGGACAGATAGAGAGCAGACTAGGCAACCATTAGAGTCGGCACTGGTCCTAGGTCTCATTGAGGACAGATATAGAGCAGACTGTGCAACCTTTAGAGTCTGCATTGGGCCTGGGTCTCATTGAGGACAGATAGCGACCAGACTGTGCAACCTTTAGAGTCTGCATTGGGCTTAGGTCTCATTGAGGGCAGTTAGAGAGCAGACTGTGCAACCTTTAGAGTCTGCATTGGGCCTAGGTCTCATTGAGAGCAGATAGAGAGCACACTGTGCAACCTCTAGAGTCGGCATTGGGCCTAGGTCTCATTGAGGACAGATAGAGACCAGACTGTTGAAACTTTAGAGTCTGCATTGGGCCTAGGTCTCATTGAGGACAGATAGAGGGCAGACTGTGCAACCTTTAGAGTCTACAATGGGCCTAGGTATCAGTGAGGACAAATAGAGAGGAGACTGTGCAACCTTTAGAGTCTGCACTGGCCCTAGGTCTCTTTGAGGACAGACAGAGAGCAGAATGTGCAAACTTTAGAGTCTGCACTGGGCCTAGGTCTCATTGAGGACAGATAGAGACCAGACTGTGCAACCTTTAGAGTCTGCATTGGGCCTAGGTCTCCTTGAGGTCAGACAGACAGCAGACTCTGCAACCTTTAGAGTCTGCATTGGGCCTAGGTCTAATTGCGGACAGATAGACAGCAGACTGTGCAACGTTTAGAGTCTGCATTGGGCCTAGGTCTAATTGCGGACAGATAGAGAGCAGACTATGCAACGTTTAGAGTCTGCATTGGGCCTGGGTCTCATTGAGGACAGATAGAGAGCAGACTGTGCAACCTTTAGGGTCTCTATTGGGCCTAGGTCTCATTGAGGACAGATAGGGAGCGGACTGTGCAACCTTTAGAGTCTGCATTGGGCCTAGGTCTCATTGAGGGCAGATAGAGAGCAGGCTCGGCAACCCTTAGAGTCTGCATTGGGCCTAGATATCATTGAGGACAGATAGAGAGCATGCTATGCAACCTTTAGAGTCTGCACTGGGCCTAGGTCTCATTGAGGACACATAGAGAGCAGACTGTGCAACCTTTAGAGTCTGCATTGGGCCTATGTCTCATTGAGGACAGTTAGAGAGCAGACTGTGCAACCTTTAGAGTCTGCATTTGGCCTAGGTCTCATTGAGGACAGAAAGAGACCAGAGTGTGCAAACTTTAGAGTCTGCATTGGGCCTAGGTCTCATTGAGGACAGATAGAGAGCAGACTGTAGAACCTTTATAGTCTGCATTGGGCCTAGGTCTCATTGAGGTCAGATAGAGAGCAGACTGTGCAAGCTTTAGAGTCTGCACTTGTCCTAGGTCTCATTGAGGACAGATAGAGAACAGACTGTGCAACCTTTAGAGTCTGCATTGGGCCTAGGTCTCATTGAGGGCAGTTAGAGAGCAGACTGTGCAAACTTTAGAGTCTGCATTGGGCCTAGGTCTCATTGAGAGCAGATAGAGAGCACACTGTGCAAACTCTAGAGTCGGCATTGGGCCTAGGTCTCATTGAGGACAGATAGAGACCAGACTGTGCAAACTTTAGAGTCTGCATTGGGCCTAGGTCTCATTGAGGACAGATAGAGGGCAGACTGTGCAACCTTTAGAGTCTGCATTGGGCCTAGGTCTCATTGAGGACAGATAGAGAGCAGACTTTGCAAACTTTAGAGTCTGCACTGGGCCTAGGTCTCATTGAGGGCATATAGAGACCATACTGTGCAAACTTTAGAGTCTGCATTGGGTCTAGGTCTCACTGAGGAGAGATAGAGAGCAGACTTTGCAAACTTCAGAGTCTGCATTAGGTCTAGGTCTCACTGAGGACTGATAGAGAGCAGACTATGCAACTTTAGAGTCTGCCTGGCCCTAGGTCTCATTGAGGACAGATAGAGAGCAGACTGCGCAAACTTTAGAGTCTGCATTGGGCCTAGGTCTCACTGAGGACAGATAGAGAGCACACTGTGTAACCTTTAGAGTTTGCAAAGGGCCTCGGTCTCATTGAGGACCGATAGAGAGCAGACTGTGCAACCTTTAGAGTCTGCATTGGGCCTGGGTCTCATTGAGGAAAAACAGAGAGCAGACTGTGCAACCTTTAGAGTCTGCATTGGGCCTAGGTCTCATTGAGGGCAGATAGAGAGCAGACTGTGCAACCTTTAGAGTCTGCACTAGGGCTAGGTCTCATCGAGGACAGATAGAGAGCAGACTGTGCAACATTTAGAGTCTGCATTGGACCTAGGTCTCACTGAGGACAGATAGAGAGCAGACTATGCAAACTTTACAGTCTGCACTGGGCCTAGGTCTCATTGAGGACAGATAGAGAGCAGACTGTGCAACCTTTACAGTCTGCATTGGGCCTGGGTCTCATTCAGGAGAGATAGAGACCAGAATGTGCAACCTTTAGAGTTTGCATTGGGCCTAGGTCTCTTGAGAGCAGATAGAGAGCAGACTGTGCAACCTTTACAGTCTGCATTGGGCCTAGGTCTCATTGAGGGCCGATAGAGAGCAGACTGTGGAAACTTTAGAGTCTGCACTGGGCCTAGGTCTGATTGAGGACACATAGAGAGCAGACTGTGCAACCTTTAGAGTCTGCATTTGGCCTAGGTCTCATTGAGGACAGATGGAGAGCACACTGTGCAACCTTTAGAGTCCGCATTGGGCCTAGGTCTCATTGAGGACAGATAGAGACCAGACTGTGCAACCTTTAGAGTTTGCATTGGGCCTAGGTCTCATTGAGGGCAGATAGAGAGCAGACTGTGCAACCTTTAGAGTCTGCATTGGGCCTAGGTCTCATTGAGGACCGATAGAGAGCAGACTGTGCAACCTTTAGACTCTGCATTGGGCCTGGGTCTCATTGAGGACAAATAGAGAACAGACTGTGCAACCTTTAGAGTCTGCATTGGGCCTAGGTATCAGTGAGGACAGATAGAGAGGAGACTGTGCAACCTTTAGAGTCTGCACTGGGCCTAGGTCTCTTTGAGGACAGACAGAGAGCAGACTGTGCAAACTTTAGAGTCTGCACTGGGCCTAGGTGTCATTGAGGACAGATAGAGACCAGACTGTGCAACCTTTAGAGTCTGCATTGGGCCTAGGTCTCCTTGAGGTCAGATAGACAGCAGAATCTGCAACCTTTAGAGTCTGCATTGGGCCTAGGTCTAATTGCGGACAGATAGACAGCAGACTGTGCAACGTTTAGAGTCTGCATTGGGCCTAGGTCTAATTGCGGACAGATAGAGAGCAGACTATGCAACGTTTAGAGTCTGCATTGGGCCTGGGTCTCATTGAGGACAGATAGAGAGCAGACTGTGCAACCTTTAGAGTCTCTATTGGGCCTAGGTCTCATTGAGGACAGATAGGGAGAGGACTGTGCAACCTTTAGAGTCTGCATTGGGCCTAGGTCTCATTGAGGGCAGATAGAGAGCAGGCTCGGGAACCCTTAGAGTCTGCATTGGGCCTAGATCTCATTGAGGACAGATAGAGAGCATACTATGCAACCTTTAGAGTCTGCACTGGGCCTAGGTCTCATTGAGGACACATAGAGAGCAGACTGTGCAACCTTTAGAGTCTGCATTGGGCCTATGTCTCATTGAGGACAGTTAGAGAGCAGGCTGTGCAACCTTTACAGTCTGCATTTGGCCTAGGTCTCATTGAGGACAGAAAGAGACCAGAGTGCGCAAACTTTAGAGTCTGCATTGGGCCTAGGTCTCATTGAGGACAGATAGAGAGCAGACTGTAGAACCTTTATAGTCTGCATTGGGCCTAGGTCTCATTGAGGTCAGATAGAGAGCAGACTGTGCAAGCTTTAGAGTCTGCACTTGGCCTAGGTCTCATTGAGGACAGATAGAGAACAGACTGTGCAACCTTTAGAGTCTGCATTGGGCCTAGGTCTCATTGAGGGCAGTTAGAGAGCAGACTGTGCAACCTTTAGAGTCTGCATTGGGCCTAGGTCTCATTGAGAGCAGATAGAGAGCACACTGTGCAACCTCTAGAGTCGGCATTGGGCCTAGGTCTCATTGAGGACAGATAGAGACCAGACTGTGCAAACTTTAGAGTCTGCATTGGGCCTAGGTCTCATTGAGGACAGATAGAGGGCAGACTGTGCAACCTTTAGAGTCTGCATTGAGCCTAGGTCTCATTGAGGACAGATAGAGAGCAGACTGTGCAACCTTTCGAGTCTGCACTGGGCCTAGGTCTCATTGAGGGCATATAGAGACCATACTGTGCAAACTTTAGAGTCTGCATTGGGTCTAGGTCTCACTGAGGAGAGATAGAGAGCAGACTTTGCAAACTTTAGAGTCTGCATTAGGTCTAGGTCTCACTGAGGACTGATAGAGAGCAGACTATGCAACTTTAGAGTCTGCACTGGCCCTAGGTCTCATTGAGGACAGATAGAGAGCAGACTGCGCAAACTTTAGAGTCTGCATTGGGTCTAGGTCTCATTGAGGACAGATAGAGAGCACACTGTGTAACCTTTAGAGTCTGCATAGAGCCTCGGTCTCATTGAGGACCGATAGAGAGCAGACTGTGCAACCTTTAGAATCTGCATTGGGCCTAGGTCTCATTGAGGGCAGGTAGAGAGCCGACTGTGCAACCTTTAGAGTCTGCATTGGGCCAAGGTCTCATTGAGGTCAGATAGAGAGCACACTGTGCAACCTTTAGAGACTGCATTGAGCCTGGGTCTCATTGAGGACAGATAGAGAGCAGACTGTGCAACCTTTAGAGTCTGCATTGGGCCTAGGTCTCATTGAGGGCACATAGAGAGCAGACTGCACAACCTTTAGAGTCTGCATTGGGCCTACGTCTCATTGAGGGCAGATAGAGAACAGACGGTGCAACCTTTACAGTCTGCATTGGGCCTAGGTCTCAATGAGGGCAGGTAGAGAGCCGACTGTACAACCTTTAGAGTCTGCATTGGGCCTAGGTCTCATTGAGGGCAGATAGAGAGCAGACGGTGCAACCTTTAGAGTCTGCATTGGGCCTAGGTCTCATTGAGGACAGATAGAGAGCAGACTGTGCAACCTTTAGAGACTGCATTGAGCCTGAGTCTCATTGAGGACAGATAGAGAGCAGACTGTGCAACCATTAGAGTCTGCATTGGGCCTAGGTCTCATTGAGGGCACATAGAGAGCAGACTGTGCAACCTTTAGAGTCTGCATTGGGCCTAGGTCTCATTGAGGACAGATAGAGAGCAGACTGTGCAACCTTTAGAGTCTGCATTGGGTCTAGGGCTCATTGAGGGCAGACAGAGAGCAGACTGTGCAAACTTTAGAGTCTGCATTGGGCCTAGGTCTCATTGAAGACAGATAGAGAGCAGACTGTGCAACCTTTAGAGTCCGAATTGGGCCTCGGTCTCATTGAGGACCGATGGAGAGCAGACTGTGCAACCTTTAGAGTCTGCATTGGGCCTGGGTCTCACTGAGGACAAATAGAGAGCAGACTGTGCAACCTTTAGGGACTGCATTGGACCTAGGTCTCATTGAGGACAGATAGAGAGCAGACTAGGCAACCTTTAGAGTCGGCACTGGGCCTAGGTCTCATTGAGGACACATATAGAGCAGACTGTGCAACCTTTACAGTCTGCATTGGGCCTGGGTCTCATTGAGGACAGATAGAGACCAGACTGTGCAACCTTTAGAGTCTGCATTGGGCCTAGGTCTCATTGAGGGCAGATAGAGAGCAGACTGTGCAACCTTTAGAGTCTGCACTGGGCCTAGGTCTCATTGAGGACAGATAGAGAGCAGACTGTGCAACCTTTAGAGTCTGCATTGGGCCTAGGTCTCATTGAGAGCAGATAGAGAGCATACTGTGCAACCTTTAGAGTCGGCATTGGGCCTAGGTCTCATTGAGGACAGATAGAGACCAGACTGTGCAACCTTTAGAGTCTGCATTGGGCCTAGGTCTCATTGAGGACAGATAGAGAGCAGACTAGGCAACCATTAGAGTCGGCACTGGTCCTAGGTCTCATTGAGGACAGATATAGAGCAGACTGTGCAACCTTTAGAGTCTGCATTGTGCCTGGGTCTCATTGAGGACAGATAGAGAGCAGACTGTGCAACCTTTAGAGTCTGCACTGGGCCTAGGTCTCATTGAGGACAGATAGAGAGCAGACTGTGCAACCTCTAGAGTCTGCATTGGGCCTAGGTCTCATTGAGGGCATTTAGAGAGCAGACTGCGCAACCTTTAGAGTCTGCATTGGGCCTAGGTCTCATTGAGAGCAGATAGAGAGCACACTGTGCAACCTCTAGAGTCGGCATTGGGCCTAGGTCTCATTGAGGACAGATAGAGACCAGACTGTGCAAACTTTAGAGTCTGCATTGGGCCTAGGTCTCATTGAGGACAGATAGAGGGCAGACTGTGCAACCTTTAGAGTCTGCATTGGGCCTAGGTCTCATTATGGACCGATACAGAGCAGACTGTGCAACCTTTAGAGTCTGCACTGGGCCTAGGTCTCATTGAGAGCAGATAGAGAGCACACTGTGCAAACTTTAGAGTCGGCATTGGGCCTAGGTCTCATTGAGGACAGATAGAGACCGGACTGTGCAACCTTTAGAGTCTGCATTGGGCCTACGTCTCATTGAGGACAGATAGAGAGCAGACTAGGCAACCATTAGAGTCGGCACTGGTCCTAGGTCTCATTGAGGACAGATATAGAGCAGACTGTGCAACCTTTAGAGTCTGCATTGGGCCTGGGTCTCATTGAGGACAGATAGCGACCAGACTGTGCAACCTTTAGAGTCTGCATTGGGCTTAGGTCTCATTGAGGGCAGTTAGAGAGCAGACTGTGCAACCTTTAGAGTCTGCATTGGGCCTAGGTCTCATTGAGAGCAGATAGAGAGCACACTGTGCAACCTCTAGAGTCGGCATTGGGCCTAGGTCTCATTGAGGACAGATAGAGACCAGACTGTTGAAACTTTAGAGTCTGCATTGGGCCTAGGTCTCATTGATGACAGATAGAGGGCAGACTGTGCAACCTTTAGAGTCTACAATGGGCCTAGGTATCAGTGAGGACAAATAGAGAGGAGACTGTGCAACCTTTAGAGTCTGCACTGGCCCTAGGTCTCTTTGAGGACAGACAGAGAGCAGAATGTGCAAACTTTAGAGTCTGCACTGGGCCTAGGTGTCATTGAGGACAGATAGAGACCAGACTGTGCAACCTTTAGAGTCTGCATTGGGCCTAGGTCTCCTTGAGGTCAGACAGACAGCAGACTCTGCAACCTTTAGAGTCTGCATTGGGCCTAGGTCTAATTGCGGACAGATAGACAGCAGACTGTGCAACGTTTAGAGTCTGCATTGGGCCTAGGTCTAATTGCGGACAGATAGAGAGCAGACTATGCAACGTTTAGAGTCTGCATTGGGCCTGGGTCTCATTGAGGACAGATAGAGAGCAGACTGTGCAACCTTTAGGGTCTCTATTGGGCCTAGGTCTCATTGAGGACAGATAGGGAGCGGACTGTGCAACCTTTAGAGTCTGCATTGGGCCTAGGTCTCATTGAGGGCAGATAGAGAGCAGGCTCGGCAACCCTTAGAGTCTGCATTGGGCCTAGATATCATTGAGGACAGATAGAGAGCATGCTATGCAACCTTTAGAGTCTGCACTGGGCCTAGGTCTCATTGAGGACACATAGAGAGCAGACTGTGCAACCTTTAGAGTCTGCATTGGGCCTATGTCTCATTGAGGACAGTTAGAGAGCAGACTGTGCAACCTTTAGAGTCTGCATTTGGCCTAGGTCTCATTGAGGACAGAAAGAGACCAGAGTGTGCAAACTTTAGAGTCTGCATTGGGCCTAGGTCTCATTGAGGACAGATAGAGAGCAGACTGTAGAACCTTTATAGTCTGCATTGGGCCTAGGTCTCATTGAGGTCAGATAGAGAGCAGACTGTGCAAGCTTTAGAGTCTGCACTTGTCCTAGGTCTCATTGAGGACAGATAGAGAACAGACTGTGCAACCTTTAGAGTCTGCATTGGGCCTAGGTCTCATTGAGGGCAGTTAGAGAGCAGACTGTGCAAACTTTAGAGTCTGCATTGGGCCTAGGTCTCATTGAGAGCAGATAGAGAGCACACTGTGCAAACTCTAGAGTCGGCATTGGGCCTAGGTCTCATTGAGGACAGATAGAGACCAGACTGTGCAAACTTTAGAGTCTGCATTGGGCCTAGGTCTCATTGAGGACAGATAGAGGGCAGACTGTGCAACCTTTAGAGTCTGCATTGGGCCTAGGTCTCATTGAGGACAGATAGAGAGCAGACTTTGCAAACTTTAGAGTCTGCACTGGGCCTAGGTCTCATTGAGGGCATATAGAGACCATACTGTGCAAACTTTAGAGTCTGCATTGGGTCTAGGTCTCACTGAGGAGAGATAGAGAGCAGACTTTGCAAACTTCAGAGTCTGCATTAGGTCTAGGTCTCACTGAGGACTGATAGAGAGCAGACTATGCAACTTTAGAGTCTGCCTGGCCCTAGGTCTCATTGAGGACAGATAGAGAGCAGACTGCGCAAACTTTAGAGTCTGCATTGGGCCTAGGTCTCACTGAGGACAGATAGAGAGCACACTGTGTAACCTTTAGAGTTTGCATAGGGCCTCGGTCTCATTGAGGACCGATAGAGAGCAGACTGTGCAACCTTTAGAGTCTGCATTGGGCCTGGGTCTCATTGAGGAAAAATGGAGAGCCGACTGTGCAACCTTTAGAGTCTGCATTGGGCCTAGGTCTCATTGAGGGCAGATAGAGAGCAGACTGTGCAACCTTTAGAGTCTGCACTAGGGCTAGGTCTCATCGAGGACAGATAGAGAGCAGACTGTGCAACATTTAGAGTCTGCATTGGACCTAGGTCTCACTGAGGACAGATAGAGAGCAGACTATGCAAACTTTACAGTCTGCACTGGGCCTAGGTCTCATTGAGGACAGATAGAGAGCAGACTGTGCAACCTTTACAGTCTGCATTGGGCCTGGGTCTCATTCAGGAGAGATAGAGACCAGAATGTGCAACCTTTAGAGTTTGCATTGGGCCTAGGTCTCTTGAGAGCAGATAGAGAGCAGACTGTGCAACCTTTACAGTCTGCATTGGGCCTAGGTCTCATTGAGGGCCGATAGAGAGCAGACTGTGCAAACTTTAGAGTCTGCACTGGGCCTAGGTCTGATTGAGGACACATAGAGAGCAGACTGTGCAACCTTTAGAGTCTGCATTTGGCCTAGGTCTCATTGAGGACAGATGGAGAGCACACTGTGCAACCTTTAGAGTCCGCATTGGGCCTAGGTCTCATTGAGGACAGATAGAGACCAGACTGTGCAACCTTTAGAGTTTGCATTGGGCCTAGGTCTCATTGAGGGCAGATAGAGAGCAGACTGTGCAACCTTTAGAGTCTGCATTGGGCCTAGGTCTCATTGAGGACCGATAGAGAGCAGACTGTGCAACCTTTAGACTCTGCATTGGGCCTGGGTCTCATTGAGGACAAATAGAGAACAGACTGTGCAACCTTTAGAGTCTGCATTGGGCCTAGGTATCAGTGAGGACAGATAGAGAGGAGACTGTGCAACCTTTAGAGTCTGCACTGGGCCTAGGTCTCTTTGAGGACAGACAGAGAGCAGACTGTGCAAACTTTAGAGTCTGCACTGGGCCTAGGTGTCATTGAGGACAGATAGAGACCAGACTGTGCAACCTTTAGAGTCTGCATTGGGCCTAGGTCTCCTTGAGGTCAGATAGACAGCAGAATCTGCAACCTTTAGAGTCTGCATTGGGCCTAGGTCTAATTGCGGACAGATAGACAGCAGACTGTGCAACGTTTAGAGTCTGCATTGGGCCTAGGTCTAATTGCGGACAGATAGAGAGCAGACTATGCAACGTTTAGAGTCTGCATTGGGCCTGGGTCTCATTGAGGACAGATAGAGAGCAGACTGTGCAACCTTTAGAGTCTCTATTGGGCCTAGGTCTCATTGAGGACAGATAGGGAGAGGACTGTGCAACCTTTAGAGTCTGCATTGGGCCTAGGTCTCATTGAGGGCAGATAGAGAGCAGGCTCGGGAACCCTTAGAGTCTGCATTGGGCCTAGATCTCATTGAGGACAGATAGAGAGCATACTATGCAACCTTTAGAGTCTGCACTGGGCCTAGGTCTCATTGAGGACACATAGAGAGCAGACTGTGCAACCTTTAGAGTCTGCATTGGGCCTATGTCTCATTGAGGACAGTTAGAGAGCAGGCTGTGCAACCTTTACAGTCTGCATTTGGCCTAGGTCTCATTGAGGACAGAAAGAGACCAGAGTGCGCAAACTTTAGAGTCTGCATTGGGCCTAGGTCTCATTGAGGACAGATAGAGAGCAGACTGTAGAACCTTTATAGTCTGCATTGGGCCTAGGTCTCTTTGAGGTCAGATAGAGAGCAGACTGTGCAAGCTTTAGAGTCTGCACTTGGCCTAGGTCTCATTGAGGACAGATAGAGAACAGACTGTGCAACCTTTAGAGTCTGCATTGGGCCTAGGTCTCATTGAGGGCAGTTAGAGAGCAGACTGTGCAACCTTTAGAGTCTGCATTGGGCCTAGGTCTCATTGAGAGCAGATAGAGAGCACACTGTGCAACCTCTAGAGTCGGCATTGGGCCTAGGTCTCATTGAGGACAGATAGAGACCAGACTGTGCAAACTTTAGAGTCTGCATTGGGCCTAGGTCTCATTGAGGACAGATAGAGGGCAGACTGTGCAACCTTTAGAGTCTGCATTGAGCCTAGGTCTCATTGAGGACAGATAGAGAGCAGACTGTGCAACCTTTCGAGTCTGCACTGGGCCTAGGTCTCATTGAGGGCATATAGAGACCATACTGTGCAAACTTTAGAGTCTGCATTGGGTCTAGGTCTCACTGAGGAGAGATAGAGAGCAGACTTTGCAAACTTTAGAGTCTGCATTAGGTCTAGGTCTCACTGAGGACTGATAGAGAGCAGACTATGCAACTTTAGAGTCTGCACTGGCCCTAGGTCTCATTGAGGACAGATAGAGAGCAGACTGCGCAAACTTTAGAGTCTGCATTGGGTCTGGGTCTCATTGAGGACAGATAGAGAGCACACTGTGTAACCTTTAGAGTCTGCATAGAGCCTCGGTCTCATTGAGGACCGATAGAGAGCAGACTGTGCAACCTTTAGAATCTGCATTGGGCCTAGGTCTCATTGAGGGCAGGTAGAGAGCCGACTGTGCAACCTTTAGAGTCTGCATTGGGCCAAGGTCTCATTGAGGTCAGATAGAGAGCACACTGTGCAACCTTTAGAGACTGCATTGAGCCTGGGTCTCATTGAGGACAGATAGAGAGCAGACTGTGCAACCTTTAGAGTCTGCATTGGGCCTAGGTCTCATTGAGGGCACATAGAGAGCAGACTGCACAACCTTTAGAGTCTGCATTGGGCCTACGTCTCATTGAGGGCAGATAGAGAACAGACGGTGCAACCTTTACAGTCTGCATTGGGCCTAGGTCTCAATGAGGGCAGGTAGAGAGCCGACTGTACAACCTTTAGAGTCTGCATTGGGCCTAGGTCTCATTGAGGGCAGATAGAGAGCAGACGGTGCAACCTTTAGAGTCTGCATTGGGCCTAGGTCTCATTGAGGACAGATAGAGAGCAGACTGTGCAACCTTTAGAGACTGCATTGAGCCTGAGTCTCATTGAGGACAGATAGAGAGCAGACTGTGCAACCATTAGAGTCTGCATTGGGCCTAGGTCTCATTGAGGGCAGTTAGAGAGCAGACTGTGCAACCTTTAGAGTCTGCATTGGGCCTAGGTCTCATTGAGGACAGATAGAGAGCAGACTGTGCAACCTTTAGAGTCTGCATTGGGTCTAGGGCTCATTGAGGGCAGACAGAGAGCAGACTGTGCAAACTTTAGAGTCTGCATTGGGCCTAGGTCTCATTGAAGACAGATAGAGAGCAGACTGTGCAACCTTTAGAGTCCGAATTGGGCCTCGGTCTCATTGAGGACCGATGGAGAGCAGACTGTGCAACCTTTAGAGTCTGCATTGGGCCTGGGTCTCACTGAGGACAAATAGAGAGCAGACTGTGCAACCTTTAGGGACTGCATTGGACCTAGGTCTCATTGAGGACAGATAGAGAGCAGACTAGGCAACCTTTAGAGTCGGCACTGGGCCTAGGTCTCATTGAGGACACATATAGAGCAGACTGTGCAACCTTTACAGTCTGCATTGGGCCTGGGTCTCATTGAGGACAGATAGAGACCAGACTGTGCAAACTTTAGAGTCTGCATTGGGCCTAGGTCTCATTGAGGGCAGATAGAGAGCAGACTGTGCAACCTTTAGAGTCTGCACTGGGCCTAGGTCTCATTGAGGACAGATAGAGAGCAGACTGTGCAACCTTTAGAGTCTGCATTGGGCCTAGGTCTCATTGAGAGCAGATAGAGAGCATACTGTGCAACCTTTAGAGTCGGCATTGGGCCTAGGTCTCATTCAGGACAGATAGAGAGCAGACTAGGCAACCATTAGAGTCGGCACTGGTCCTAGGTCTCATTGAGGACAGATATAGAGCAGACTGTGCAACCTTTAGAGTCTGCATTGTGCCTGGGTCTCATTGAGGACAGATAGAGAGCAGACTGAGCAACCTTTAGAGTCTGCACTGGGCCTAGGTCTCATTGAGGACAGATAGAGAGCAGACTGTGCAACCTCTAGAGTCTGCATTGGGCCTAGGTCTCATTGAGGGCATTTAGAGAGCAGACTGCGCAACCTTTAGAGTCTGCATTGGGCATAGGTCTCATTGAGAGCAGATAGAGAGCACACTGTGCAACCTCTAGAGTCGGCATTGGGCCTAGGTCTCATTGAGGACAGATAGAGACCAGACTGTGCAAACTTTAGAGTTTGCATTGGACCTAGGTCTCATTGAGGGCAGATAGAGAGCAAACTGTGCAACCTTTAGAGTCTGCATTGGGCCTAGGTCTCATTGAGGACAGATAGAGAGCAGACTGTGCAACCTTTAGAGTCTGCACTGGGCCTAGGTCTCTTTGAGGACAGACAGAGAGCAGACTGTGCAAACTTTAGAGTCTGCACTGGGCCTAGGTGTCATTGAGGACAGAAAGAGACCAGACTGTGCAACCTTTAGAGTCTGCATTGGGCCTAGGTCTCCTTGAGGTCAGATAGACAGCAGACTGTGCAACCTTTAGAGTCTGCATTGGGCCTAGGTCTAATTGCGGACAGATAGAGAGCAGACTATGCAACGTTTAGAGTCTGCATTGGGCCTGGGTCTCATTCAGGACAGATAGAGAGCAGACTGTGCAACCTTTAGAGTCTCTATTGGGCCTAGGTCTCATTGAGGACAGATAGAGAGCGGACTGTGCAACCTTTAGAGTCTGCATTGGGCCTAGGTCTCATTGAGGGCAGATAGAGAGCAGGCTCGGCAACCCTTAGAGTCTGCATTGGGCCTAGATCTTATTGAGGACAGATAGAGAGCATACTATGCAACCTTTAGAGTCTGCATTGGGCCTAGGTCTCATTGAGGACACATAGAGAGCAGACTGTGCAACCTTTAGAGTCTGCATTGGGCCTATGTCTCATTGAGGACAGTTAGAGAGCAGACTGTGCAACCTTTAGAGTCTGCATTTGGCCTAGGTCTCATTGAGGACAGAAACAGACCAGAGTGTGCAACCTTTAGAGTCAGCATTGGGCCTAGGTCTCATTGAGGACAGATAGAGAGCAGACTGTAGAAACTTTATAGTCTGCATTGGGCCTAGGTCTCATTGAGGTCAGATAGAGAGCAGACGGTGCAAGCTTTAGAGTCTGCACTTGGCCTAGGTCTCATTGAGGACAGATAGAGAGCAGACTGTGCAAACTCTAGAGTCTGCATTGGGCCTAGGTCTCATTGAGGGCAGATAGAGACCAGACTATGCAACGTTTAGAGTCTGCATTGGGCCTAGGTCTCATTGAGGGCAGTTAGAGAGCAGACTGTGCAACCTTTAGAGTCTGCATTGGGCCTAGGTCTCATTGAGAGCAGATAGAGAGCACACTGTGCAAACTTTAGAGTCGGCATTGGGCCTAGGTCTCATTGAGGACAGATAGAGACCGGACTGTGCAACCTTTAGAGTCTGCATTGGGCCTACGTCTCATTGAGGACAGATAGAGAGCAGACTAGGCAACCATTAGAGTCGGCACTGGTCCTAGGTCTCATTGAGGACAGATATAGAGCAGACTGTGCAACCTTTAGAGTCTGCATTGGGCCTGGGTCTCATTGAGGACAGATAGCGACCAGACTGTGCAACCTTTAGAGTCTGCATTGGGCTTAGGTCTCATTGAGGGCAGTTAGAGAGCAGACTGTGCAACCTTTAGAGTCTGCATTGGGCCTAGGTCTCATTGAGAGCAGATAGAGAGCACACTGTGCAACCTCTAGAGTCGGCATTGGGCCTAGGTCTCATTGAGGACAGATAGAGACCAGACTGTTGAAACTTTAGAGTCTGCATTGGGCCTAGGTCTCATTGAGGACAGATAGAGGGCAGACTGTGCAACCTTTAGAGTCTACAATGGGCCTAGGTATCAGTGAGGACAAATAGAGAGGAGACTGTGCAACCTTTAGAGTCTGCACTGGCCCTAGGTCTCTTTGAGGACAGACAGAGAGCAGAATGTGCAAACTTTAGAGTCTGCACTGGGCCTAGGTGTCATTGAGGACAGATAGAGACCAGACTGTGCAACCTTTAGAGTCTGCATTGGGCCTAGGTCTCCTTGAGGTCAGACAGACAGCAGACTCTGCAACCTTTAGAGTCTGCATTGGGCCTAGGTCTAATTGCGGACAGATAGACAGCAGACTGTGCAACGTTTAGAGTCTGCATTGGGCCTAGGTCTAATTGCGGACAGATAGAGAGCAGACTATGCAACGTTTAGAGTCTGCATTGGGCCTGGGTCTCATTGAGGACAGATAGAGAGCAGACTGTGCAACCTTTAGGGTCTCTATTGGGCCTAGGTCTCATTGAGGACAGATAGGGAGCGGACTGTGCAACCTTTAGAGTCTGCATTGGGCCTAGGTCTCATTGAGGGCAGATAGAGAGCAGGCTCGGCAACCCTTAGAGTCTGCATTGGGCCTAGATATCATTGAGGACAGATAGAGAGCATGCTATGCAACCTTTAGAGTCTGCACTGGGCCTAGGTCTCATTGAGGACACATAGAGAGCAGACTGTGCAACCTTTAGAGTCTGCATTGGGCCTATGTCTCATTGAGGACAGTTAGAGAGCAGACTGTGCAACCTTTAGAGTCTGCATTTGGCCTAGGTCTCATTGAGGACAGAAAGAGACCAGAGTGTGCAAACTTTAGAGTCTGCATTGGGCCTAGGTCTCATTGAGGACAGATA
>NC_000023.11:94821-133871 GCF_000001405.40 Homo sapiens
CCCTCTTCCTGTCACGGCCCGAGACTCCCTCTTCCTGTCACGGCCCGAGATCCCCTCTTCCTGTCACGGCCCGAGACTCCCTCTTCCTATCACGGCCCGAGACTCCCTCTTCCTGTCACGGCCCGAGACTCCCTCTTCCTGTCACGGCCCGAGACCCCCTCTTCCTGTCACGGCCCGAGACCCCCTCTTCCTGTCACGGCCCGAGACCCCCTCTTCCTGTCACGGCCCGAGACCCCCTCTTCCTGTCACGGCCCGAGACCCCCTCTTCCTGTCACGGCCCGAGACCCCCTCTTCCAGTCACGGCCCGAGACTCCCTCTTCCTGTCACGGCCCGAGACTCCCTCTTCCTGTCACGGCCCGAGACTCCCTCTTCCTGTCACGGCCCGAGATCCCCTCTTCCTGTCACGGCCTGAGTTGTTTTTCAGGTTTCTTTGGGATCCCCTTGGCTACAAACAGGTCCACTCAGTCAGCTGAGGGGCTTAGAATTCTATTTTTGGTTTACCCCACTATCAGGAGGTTGTCTGAGATAAGCCAGCCCCTCCCACCCTTGCAGGCACAGTGTGCAAGCATAAGATCTCGTGCTGGCCGCCATTCAGGTGGCAGCCACAGGGATGGTCCAGACGTGGCTCTCCAACCGTCCTTAGACCACACAAAGTTTAGGATTTCTGGGGTCCCAATGCAGACTCTAAAGGTTGCATAGTCTGGTCTCTATCTGCCCTCAATGAGACCTAGGCCCAGTGCAGACTCTAAAGGTTGCATACTCTGGTCCCTATCTGCCCTCAATGAGACCTAGGCCCAGTGCAGACTCGAAAGGTTGCACAGTCTGCTCTCTATCTGTCCTCAATGAGACTTAGGCACAATGCAGACTCTAAACGTTGCACAGTCTGCTCTCTATCTGCCCTCAATGAGACCTAGGCCCAATGCATACTCTAAAGGTTGCACAGTCTGCTCTCTATCTGCCCTCAATGAGACCTAGGCCCAATGCAGACTCTAAAGGTTGCATAGTCTGGTCTCTATCTGCCCTCAATGAGACCTAGGACCAATGAAGACTCTAAAGGTTGCGCAGTCTGCTCTCTATCTGTCCTCAATGAGACCTAGGCCCAGTGCAGACTATAAAGGTTGCACAGTCTGGTCTCTATCTGTCCTCAATGAGACCTAGGCCCAATGCAGACTCTAAAGGTTGCACAGTCTGCTCTCTATCTGTCCTCAATGAGACCTAGGCCAAGTGCAGACTCTAAAGCTTGCACAGTCTGCTCTCTATCTGACCTCAATGAGACCTAGGCCCAATGCAGACTATAAAGGTTCTACAGTCTGCTCTCTATCTGTCCTCAATGAGACCTAGGCCCAATGCAGACTCTAAAGGTTGCACACTCTGGTCTCTATCTGTCCTCAATGAGACCTAGGCCCAGTGCAGACTGTAAAGTTTGCATAGTCTGCTTTCTATCTGTCCTCAATGAGACCTAGGTCCAATGCAGACTCTAAAGGTTGCACAGTCTGCTCTCTATCTGTCCTCGATGAGACCTAGGCCTAGTGCAGACTCTAAAGGTTGCACAGTCTGCTCTCTATCTGCCCTCAATGAGACCTAGGCCCAATGCAGACTCTAAAGGTTGCACAGTCTGCTCTCTATCTGTCCTCAATGAGACCTAGGCCCAATGCAGACTCTAAAGGTTGCACAGTCTGCTCTCTATTTGTCCTCAATGAGACCCAGGCCCAATGCAGACTCTAAAGGTTGCACAGTCTGCTCTCTATCGGTCCTCAATGAGACCGAGGCCCTATGCAGACTCTAAAGGTTACACAGTGTGCTCTCTATCTGTCCTCAGTGAGACCTAGGCCCAATGCAGACTCTAAAGTTTGCGCAGTCTGCTCTCTATCTGTCCTCAATGAGACCTAGGACCAATGCAGACTCTAAAGGTTGCACAGTCTGCCCTCTATCTGTCCTCAATGAGACCTAGGCCCAATGCAGACTCTAAAGTTTTAACAGTCTGGTCTCTATCTGTCCTCAATGAGACCTAGGCCCAATGCCGACTCTAGAGGTTGCACAGTGTGCTCTCTATCTGCTCTCAATGAGACCTAGACCCAATGCAGACTCTAAAGGTTGCACAGTCTGCTCTCTAACTGCCCTCAATGAGACCTAAGCCCAAAGCAGACTCTAAAGGTTGCACAGTCTGGTCGCTATCTGTCCTCAATGAGACCCAGACCCAATGCAGACTCTAAAGGTTGCACAGTCTGCTCTATATCTGTCCTCAATGAGACCTAGGAAAAGTGCCGACTCTAATGGTTGCCTAGTCTGCTCTTTATCTGTCCTCAATGAGACCTAGGCCCAATGCAGACTCTAAAGGTTGCACAGTCCGGTCTCTATCTGTCCTCAATGAGACCTAGGCCCAATGCCGACTCTAAAGTTTGCACAGTGTGCTCTCTATCTGCTCTCAATGAGACCTAGGCCCAATGCAGACTCTAAAGGTAGCACAGTCTGCTCTCTAACTGCCCTCAATGACACCTAGGCCCAATGCAGACTCTAAACGTTGCATAGTCTGGTCTCTATCTGCCCTCAATGAGACCTAGGCCCAATGCAGACTCTAAAGGTTGCACAGTCTGCTCTCTATCTGTCCTCAATGAGACCTAGGCCAAGTGCAGACTCTAAAGCTTGCACAGTCTGCTCTCTATCTGACCTCAATGAGACCTAGGCCCAATGCAGACTATAAAGGTTCTACAGTCTGCTCTCTATCTGTCCTCAATGAGACCTAGGCCCAATGCAGACTCTAAAGGTTGCACACTCTGGTCTCTTTCTGTCCTCAATGAGACCTAGGCCAAATGCAGACTCTAAAGGTTGCACAGTCTGCTCTCTAACTGTCCTCAATGAGACATAGGCCCAATGCAGACTCTAAAGGTTGCACAGTCTGCTCTCTATGTGTCCTCAATGAGACCTAGGCCCAGTGCAGACTCTAAAGGTTGCATAGTATGCTCTCTATCTGTCCTCAATGAGATCTAAGCCCAATGCAGACTCTAAGGGTTGCCGAGCCTGCTCTCTATCTGCCCTCAATGAGACCTAGGCCCAATGCAGACTCTAAAGGTTGCACAGTCCGCTCTCTATCTGTCCTCAATGAGACCTAGGCCCAATAGAGACTCTAAAGGTTGCACAGTCTGCACTCTATCTGTCCTCAATGAGACCCAGGCCCAATGCAGACTCTAAACGTTGCATAGTCTGCTCTCTGTCTGTCCGCAATTAGACCTAGGCCCAATGCAGACTCTAAAGGTTGCACAGTCTGCTGTCTATCTGACCTCAAGGAGACTTAGGCCCAATGCAGACTCTAAAGGTTGCACAGTCTGGTCTCTATCTGTCCTCAATGACACCTAGGCCCAGTGCAGACTCTAAAGTTTGCACAGTCTGCTCTCTGTCTGTCCTCAAAGAGACCTAGGCACAGTGCAGACTCTAAAGGTTGCACAGTCTGCTCTCTATCTGTCCTCAATGAGACCTAGGCCCAGTGCAGACTCTAAAGGTTGCACAGTCTGCTCTCTATCTGCCCTCAATGAGACCTAGGCCCAATGCAGACTCTAAAGTTGCACAGTCTGGTCTCTATCTGTCCTCAATGAGACCTAGGCCCAATGCGGACTCTAAAGGTTGCACAGTGTGCTCTCCATCTGTCCTCAATGAGACCTAGGCCCAATGCAGACTCTAAAGGTTGCACAGTCTGCTCTCTATCTCTCCTCAATGAGACCTAGGCCCAATGCAGACTCTAAAGTTTGCACAGTCTGCTCTCTATCTGCCCTCAATGAGACCTAGGCCCAATGCAGACTCTAAAGGTTGCACAGTCTGCTCTCTATCTGCTCTCAATGAGACCTAGGCCCAATGCAGACTCTAAAGGTTGCACAGTCTGGTCTCTATCTGTCCTGAATGAGGCCCAGATCCAATGCAGACTGTAAAGGTTGCACAGTCTGCTCTCTATCTGTCCTCAATGAGACCTAGGCTCAGTGCAGCCTCTAAAGTTTGCATAGTCTGCTCTCTATCTGTCCTCAATGAGACCTAGGTCCAATGCAGACTCTAAAGGTTGCACAGTCTGCTCTCTATCTGTCCTCAATGAGACCTAGGCCTAGTGCAGACTCTAAAGGTTGCACAGTCTGTTCTCTATCTGTCCTCAATGAGACCTAGGCCAAGTGCAGACTCTAAAGCTTGCACAGTCTGTTCTCTATCTGACCTCAATGAGACCTAGGCCCAATGCAGACTATAAAGTTTCTACAGTCTGCTCTCTATCTGTCCTCAATGAGACCTAGGCCCAATGCAGACTCTAAAGGTTGAACACTCTGGTCTCTATCTGCCCTCAATGAGACCTAGGCCCAATGAAGACTCTAAAGGTTGCGCAGTCTGCTCTCTATCTCTCCTCAATGAGACCTAGGCCCAGTGCAGACTATAAAGGTTGCACAGTCTGGTCTCTATCTGTCCTCAATGAGACCTAGGCCCAATGCAGACTCTAAAGGTTGCACAGTCTGCTCTCTATCTGTCCTCAATGAGACCTAGGCCAAGTGCAGACTCTAAAGCTTGCACAGTCTGCTCTCTATCTGACCTCAATGAGACCTAGGCCCAATGCAGACTATAAAGGTTCTACAGTCTGCTCTCTGTCTGTCCTCAATGAGACCTAGGCCCAATGCAGACTCTAAAGGTTGCACACTCTGGTCTCTATCTGTCCTCAATGAGACCTAGGCCCAGTGCAGACTGTAAAGTTTGCATAGTCTGCTCTCTATCTGTCCTCAATGAGACCTAGGTCCAATGCAGACTCTAAAGGTTGCACAGTCTGCTCTCTATCTGTCCTCGATGAGACCTAGGCCCAGTGCAGACTCTAAAGGTTGCACAGTCTGCTCTCTATCTGCCCTCAATGAGACCTAGGCCCAATGCAGACTCTAAAGGTTGCACAGTCTGCTCTCTATCTGTCCTCAATGAGACCTAGGCCCAATGCAGACTCTAAAGGTTGCACAGTCTGCTCTCTATTTGTCCTCAATGAGACCCAGGCCCAATGCAGACTCTAAAGGTGGCACAGTCTGCTCTCTATCGGTCCTCAATGAGACCGAGGCCCTATGCAGACTCTAAAGGTTACACAGTGTGCTCTCTATCTGTCCTCAGTGAGACCTAGGCCCAATGCAGACTCTAAAGTTTGCGCAGTCTGCTCTCTATGTGTCCTCAATGAGACCTAGGGCCAGTGCAGACTCTAAAGGTTGCATAGTCTGCTCTCTATCAGTCCTCAGTGAGACCTAGACCCAATGGAGACTCTAAAGTTTGCAAAGTCTGCTCTCTATCTCTCCTCAGTGAGACCTAGACCCAATGCAGACTCTAAAGGTTGCACATTATGGTCTCTATCTGCCCTCAATGAGACCTAGGTTCAGTGCAGACTTTAAAGTTTGCACAGTCTGCTCTGTATCTGTCCTCAATGAGACCTAGGCCCAATGCAGACTCTAAAGGTTGCACAGTCTGCCCTCTATCTGTCCTCAATTAGACCTAGGCCCAATGCAGACTCTAAAGTTTTAACAGTCTGGTCTCTATCTGTCCTCAATGAGACCTAGGCCCAATGCCGACTCTAGAGGTTGCACAGTGTGCTCTCTATCTGCTGTCGATGAGACCTAGGCCCAATGCAGACTCTAAAGGTGGCACAGTCTGCTCTCTAACTGCCCTCAATGAGACCTAGACCCAATGCAGACTCTAAAGGTTGCACAGTCTGGTCGCTATCTGTCCTCAATGAGACCCAGGCCCAATGCAGACTCTAAAGGTTACACAGTCTCCTCTATATCTGTCCTCAATGAGACTTAGGACCAGTGCCGACTCTAATGGTTGCCTAGTCTGCTCTTTATCTGTCCTCAATGAGACCTAGGCCCAATGCAGACTCTAAAGGTTGCACAGTCCGGTCTCTATCTGTCCTCAATGAGACCTAGGCCCAATGCCGACTCTAAAGTTTGCACAGTGTGCTCTCTATCTGCTCTCAATGAGACCTAGGCCTAATGCAGACTCTAAAGGTAGCACAGTCTGCTCTCTAACTGCCCTCAATGACACCTAGGCCCAATGCAGACTCTAAACGTTGCATAGTCTGGTCTCTATCTGCCCTCAATGACACCTAGGCCCAATGCAGACTCTAAAGGTTGCACAGTCTGCTCTCTATCTGTCCTCAATGAGACCTAGGCCAAGTGCAGACTCTAAAGCTTGCACAGTCTGCTCTCTATCTGACCTCAATGAGACCTAGGCCCAATGCAGACTATAAAGGTTCTACAGTCTGCTCTCTATCTGTCCTCAATGAGACCTAGGCCCAATGCAGACTCTAAAGGTTGCACAGTCTGCTCTCTAACTGTCCTCATTGAGACATAGGCCCAATGCAGACTCTAAAGGTTCCACAGTCTGCTCTCTATGTGTCCTCAATGAGACCTAGGCCCAGTGCAGACTCTAAAGGTTGCATAGTATGCTCTCTATCTGTCCTCAATGAGATCTAAGCCCAACGCAGACTCTAAGGGTTGCCGAGCCTGCTCTCTATCTGCCCTCAATGAGACCTAGGCCCAATGCAGACTCTAAAGGTTGCACAGTCTGCTCTCTATCTGTCCTCAATGAGACCTAGGCCCAATAGAGACTCTAAAGGTTGCACAGTCTGCTCTCTATCTGTCCTCAATGAGACCCAGGCCCAATGCAGACTGTAAACTTTGCATAGTCTGCTCTCCATCTGTCCGCAATTAGACCTAGACCCAATGCAGACTCTAAAGGTTGCACAGTCTGCTGCCTATCTGACCTCAAGGAGACCTAGGCCCAATGCAGACTCTAAAGGTTGCACAGTCTGGTCTCTATCTGTCCTCAATGACACCTAGGCCCAGTGCAGACTCTAAAGTTTGCACAGTCTGCTCTCTGTCTGTCCTCAAAGAGACCTAGGCCCAGTGCAGACTATAAAGGTTGCACAGTCTGCTCTCTATCTGTCCTCAATGAGACCTAGGCCCAATGTAGACTCTAAAGGTGGCACAGTCTGCTCTCTATCTGCCCTCAATGAGACCTAGGCCCAATGCAAACTCTAAAGGTTGCACAGTCTGGTCTCTATCTGCCCTCAATGAGACCTAGGCCCAATGCAGACTCTAAAGGTTGCACAGTCTGTTCTCTATCTGTCCTCAATGAGACCTAGGCCAAGTGTAGACTCTAAAGCTTGCACAGTCTGCTCTCTATCTGACCTCAATGAGACCTAGGCCCAATGCAGACTATAAAGGTTCTACAGTCTGCTCTCTATCTGTCCTCAATGAGACCTAGGCCCAATGCAAACTCTAAAGGTTGCACACTCTGGTCTCTTTCTGTCCTCAATGAGACCTAGGCCAAATGCAGACTCTAAAGGTTGCACAGTCTGCTCTCTAACTGTCCTCAATGAGACATAGGCCCAATGCAGACTCTAAAGGTTGCACAGTCTGCTCTCTATGTGTCCTCAATGAGACCTAGGCCCAGTGCAGACTCTCAAGGTTGCATAGTATGCTCTCTATCTGTCCTCAATAAGATCTAGGCCCAATGCAGACTCTAAGGGTTGCCGAGCCTGCTCTCTATCTGCCCTCAATGAGACCTAGGCCCAATGCAGACTCTAAAGGTTGCACAGTCCGCTCCCTATCTGTCCTCAATGAGATCTAGGCCCAATAGAGACTCTAAAGGTTGCACAGTCTGCTCTCTATCTGTCCTCAATGAGACCGAGGCTCTATGCAGACTCTAAAGGTTACACAGTGTGCTCTCTATCTGTCCTCAGTGAGACCTAGGCCCAATGCAGACTCTAAAGTTTGCGCAGTCTGCTCTCTATCTGTCCTCAATGAGACCTAGGGCCAGTGCAGACTCTAAAGGTTGCATAGTCTGCTCCTATCAGTCCTCAGTGAGACCTAGACCCAATGGAGACTCTAAAGTTTGCAAAGTCTGCTCTCTATCTCGCCTCAGTGAGACCTAGACCCAATGCAGACTCTAAAGGTTGCACAGTCTGGTCTCTATCTGCCCTCAATGAGACCTAGGCTCAGTGCAGACTTTAAAGTTTGCACAGTCTGCTCCGTATCTGTCCTCAATGAGACCTAGGTCCATTGCAGACTCTAAAGGTTGCACAGTCTGCCCTCTATCTGTCCTCAATGAGACCTAGGCCCAATGCAGCCTCTAAAGTTTCAACAGTCTGGTCTCTATCTGTCCTCAATGAGACCTAGGCCCAATGCCGACTCTAGAGGTTGCACAGTGTGCTCTCTATCTGCTCTCAATGAGACCTAGGCCCAATGCAGACTCTAAAGGTTGCACAGTCTGCTCTCTAACTGCCCTCAATGAGACCTAAGCCCAATGCAGACTCTAAAGGTTGTACAGTCTGGTCGCTATCTGTCCTCAATGAGACCCAGGCCCAATGCAGACTCTAAAGGTTGCACAGTCTGCTCTATATCTGTCCTCAATGAGACCTAGGACCAGTGCGGACTCTAATGGTTGCCTAGTGTGCTCTCTATCTGTCCTCAATGAGACCTAGGCCCAATGCAGACTCTAAAGGTTGCACAGTCCGGTCTCTATCTGTCCTCAATGAGACCTAGGCCCAATGCCGACTCTAAAGTTTGCACAGTGTGCTCTCTATCTGCTCTCAATGAGACCTAGGCCCAATGCAGATTCTAAAGGTTGCACAGTCTGCTCTCTAACTGCCCTCAATGACACCTAGGCCCAATGCAGACTCTAAACGTTGCATAGTCTGGTCTCTATCTGCCCTCAATGAGACCTAGGCCCAATGCAGACTCTAAAGTTTGCACAGTCTGCTCTCTATCTGTCCTCAATGAGACCTAGGCCAAGTGCAGACTCTAAAGCTTGCACAGTCTGCTCTCTATCTGACCTCAATGAGACCTAGGCCCAATGCAGACTATGAAGGTTCTACAGTCTGCTCTCTATCTGTCCTCAATGAGACCGAGTCCCAATGCCGACTCTAAAGGTTGCACACTCTGGTCTCTTTTTGTCCTCAATGAGACGTAGGCCAAATGCAGACTCTAAAGTTTGCACAGTCTGCTCTCTAACTGTCCTCAATGAGACATAGGCCCAATGCAGACTCTAAAGGTTGCACAGTCTGCTCTCTATGTGTCCTCAATGAGACCTAGGCCCAGTGCAGACTCTAAAGTTTGCACAGTCTGCTCTCTGTCTGTCCTCAAAGAGACCTAGGCCCAGTGCAGACTCTAAAGGTTGCACAGTCTGCTCTCTATCTGTCCTCAATGAGACCTAGGCCCAATGCAGACTCTAAGGGTTGCACATTCTGCTCTCTATCTGCCCTCAATGAGACCTAGGCCCAATGCAAACACTAAAGGTTGCACAGTCTGGTCTCTATCTGTCCTCAATGAGACCTAGGCCCAATGCGGACTCTAAAGGTTGCACAGTGTGCTCTCCATCTGTCCTCAATGAGACCTAGGCCCAATGCAGACTCTAAAGGTTGCACAGTCTGCTCTCTATCTCTCCTCAATGAGACCTAGGCCCAATGCAAACTCTAAAGTTTGCACAGTCTGCTCTCTATCTGCCCTCAACGAGACCTAGGCCCAATGCAGACTCTAAAGGTTGCACAGTCTGCTCTCTATGTGTCCTCAATGAGACCTAGGCCAAGTGCAGACTCTAAAGGTTGCACAGTCTGCTCTCTATCTGCCCTCAATGAGACCTAGGCCCAATGTAGACTCTAAAGGTTGCACAGTCTGCTCTCTATCTACTCTCAATGAGACCTAGGCCCAATGCAGACTCTAAAGGTTGCGCAGTCTGGTCTCTATCTGTCCTGAATGAGGCCCAGGCCCAATGCAGACTGTAAAGGTTGCACAGTCTGCTCTCTATCTGTCCTCAATGAGACCTAGGCTCAGTCCAGCCTCTAAAGTTTGCATAGTCTGCTCTCTATCTGTCCTCAATGAGACCTAGGTCCAATGCAGACTCTAAAGGTTGCACAGTCTGCTTTCCATCTGTCCTCAATGAGACCTAGGCCCAATGCAGACTCTATAGGTTGCACAGTCTGCTCTCCATCTGTCCTCAATGAGACCTAGGCCCAATGCAGACTCTAAAGGTTGCACAGTCTGCTCTCTATTTGTCCTCAATGAGACCCAGGCCCAATGCAGACTCTAAAGGTGGCACAGTCTGCTCTCTATCGGTCCTCAATGAGACCGAGGCCCTATGCAGTCTCTAAAGGTTACACAGTGTGCTCTCTATCTCTCCTCAGTGAGACCTAGGCCCAATGCAGACTCTAAAGGTTGCACAGTATGGTCTCTATCTGCCCTCAATGAGACCTAGGCCCAGTGCAGACTCTAAAGGTTGCACAGTCTGCTCTCTATCGGTCCTCAATGAGACCTAGGCCCAATGCAGACTCTAAAGGTTGCACAGTCTGCCCTCTATCTGTCCTCAATGAGACCTAGGCCCAGTGCAGCCTCTAAAGGTTGCACAGTCTGCTCTCTATCTGTCCTCAATGAGACCCAGGCCCAATGCAGACTCTAAAGGTTGCACAGTCTGCTCTATATCTGTCCTCAATGAGACCTAGGACCAGTGCCGACTCTAATGGTTGCCTACTCTGCTCTCTATCTGTCCTCAATGAGACCTAGGCCCAATGCAGACTCTAAAGGTTTCACAGTCTGGTCTCTATCTGTCCTCAATGAGACCTAGGCCCAATGCCGACTCTAAAGGTTGCACTGTATGCTCTCTATCTTCTCTCAATGAGACCTAGGCCCAATGCAGACTCTAAAGGTTGCACAGTCTGCTCTCTATGTGCCCTCAATGAGACCTAGGCCCAATGCAGACTCTAAAGGTTGCACAGTCTGCTCTCCATCTGTCCTCAATGAGACCTAGGCCCAATGCAGACTCTAAAGGTTGCACAGTCTGCTCTCTATTTCTCCTCAATGAGACCCAGGCCCAATGCAGACTCTAAAGGTGGCACAGTCTGCTCTCTATCGGTCCTCAATGAGACCGAGGCCCTATGCAGACTCTAAAGGTTACACAGTGTGCTCTCTATCTGTCCTCAATGAGACCTAGGCCCAATGCAGACTCTAAAGTTTGCGCAGTCTGCTCTCTATCTGTCCTCAATGAGACCTAGGGCCAGTGCAGACTCTAAAGGTTGCATAATCTGCTCTCTATCAGTCCTCAGTGAGACCTAGACCTAATGCAGACTCTAAAGTTTGCAAAGTCTGCTCTCTATCTCTCCTCAGTGAGACCTAGACCCAATGCAGACTCTAAAGGTTGCACAGTATGGTCTCTATCTGCCCTCAATGAGACCTAGGCCCAGTGCAGACTCTAAAGGTTGCACAGTCTGCTCTCTATCTGACCTCAATGAGACCTAGGCCCAATGCAGACTCTAAAGGTTGCACAGTCTGCCCTGTATCTGTCCTCAATGAGACCTAGGCCCAATGCAGACTCTAAAGTTTGCACAGTCTGGTCTCTATCTGTCCTCAATGAGACCTAGGCCCAATGCCGACTCTAGAGGTTGCACAGTGTGCTCTCTATCTGCTCTCAATGAGACCTAGGCCCAATGCAGACTCTAAAGGTTGCACAGTCTGCTCTCTAACTGCCCTCAATGAGACCTAGGCCGAATGCAGACTCTAAAGGTTGCACAGTCTGTTCTCTATCTGTCCTCAATGAGACCTAGGCCAAGTGCAGACTCTAAAGCTTGCCCAGTCTGCTCCCTATCTGACCTCAATGAGACCTAGGCCCAATGCAGACTATAAAGGTTCTACAGTCTCCTCTCTATCTGTCCTCAATGAGACCCAGGCCCAATGCAGACTCTAAAGGTTGCACACTCTGGTCTCTTTCTGTACTCAATGAGACCTAGGCCAAATGCAGACTCTAAAGGTAGCACAGTCTGCTCTCTAACTGTCCTCAATGAGACATAGGCCTAATGCAGACTCTAAAGGTTGCACAGTCTGCTCTCTATGTTTCCTCAATGAGAACTAAGCCCAGTGCAGACTCTAAAGGTTGCATAGTATGCTCTCTATCTGTCCTCAATGAGATCTAGGCCCAATGCAGACTCTAAGGGTTGCCGAGCCTGCTCTCTGTCTGCCGTCAATGAGACCTAGGCCCAATGCAGACTCTAAAGGTTGCACAGTCCGCTCCCTATCTGTCCTCAATGAGACCTAGGCCCAATAGAGACTCTAAAGGTTGCACAGTCTGCTCTCTATCTGTCCTCAATGAGACCCAGGCCCAATGCAGACTCTAAACGTTGCATAGTCTGCTCTCTATCTGTCCGCAATTAGACCTAGGCCCAATGCAGACTCTAAACGTTGCACAGTCTGCTGTCTATCTGTCCGCAATTAGACCTAGGCCCAATGCAGACTCTAAAGGTTGCAGAGTCTGCTGTCTATCTGACCTCAAGGAGACCTAGGCCCAATGCAGACTCTAAAGGTTGCACAGTCTGGTCTCTATCTGTCCTCAATGACACCTAGGCCCAATGCGGACTCTAAAGGTTGCACAGTGTGCTCTCCATCTGTCCTCAATGAGACCTAGGCCCAATGCAGACTCTAAAGGTTGCACAGTCTGCTCTCTATCTCTCCTCAATGAGACCTAGGCTCAATGCAGACTCTAAAGGTTGCACAGTCTGCTCTCTATCTGCTCTCAATGAGACCTAGGCCCAATGCAGACTCTAAAGGTTGCACAGTCTGGTCTCTATCTGCCCTCAATGAGACCTAGGCCCAATGCAGACTCTAAAGGTTGCACACTCTGCTCTCTATCTGCTCTCAATGAGACCTAGGCCCAATGCAGACTCTAAAGGTTGCACAGTCTGCTCTCCATCTCTCCTCAATGAGACCTAGGCCCAATGCAGACTCTAAAGGTTGCACAGTCTGCTCTCTATTTGTCCTCAATGAGACCCAGGCCCAATGCAGACTCTAAAGGTTGCACAGTCTGCTCTCTATCGGTCCTCATAGAGACCGAGGCCCTATGCAGACTCTAAAGGTTACACAGTGTGCTCTCTATCTGTCCTCAATGAGACCTAGGCCCAATGCAGACTCTAAAGTTTGCGCAGTCTGCTCTGTATCTGTCCTCAATGAGACCTAGTGCCAGTGCAGACTCTAAAGGTTGCATAGTCTGCTCTCTATCAGTCCTCAGTGAGACCTAGACCCAATGCAGACTCTAAAGTTTGCAAAGTCTGCTCTCTATCTCTCCTCAGTGAGACCTAGACCCAATGCAGATTCTAAAGGTTGCACAGTATGGTCTCTATCTGCCCTCAATGAGACCTAGGCCCAGTGCAGACTCTAAAGGTTGCACAGTCTGCTCTCTATCTGTCCTCAATGAGACCTAGGCCCAATGCAGACTCTAAAGGTTGCACAGTCTGCCCTCTATCTGTCCTCAATGAGACCTAGGCCCAGTGCAGACTCTAAAGGTTGCACAGTCTGGTCTCTATCTGTCCTCAATGAGACCCAGGCCCAATGCAGACTCTAAAGGTTGCACAGTCTGCACTATATCTGTCCTCAATTAGACCTAGGACCAGTGTCGACTCTAATGGTTGCCTAGTCTGCTCTCTATCTGTCCTCAATGAGACCCATGCACAATGCAGACTCTAAAGGTTGCACAGTCTGCTCTATATCTGTCCTCAATGAGACCTAGGACCAGTGTCGACTCTAATGGTTGCATAGTCTGCTCTCTATCTGTCCTCAATGAGACCTAGGCCCAATGCAGACTCTAAAGGTTGCACAGTCTGGTCTCTATCTGTCCTCAATGAGACCTAGGCCCAATGCCGACTCTAAAGGTTGCACAGTATGCTCTCTATCTGCTCTCAATGAGACCTAGGCCCAATGCAGACTCTAAAGGTTGCACAGTCTGCTCTCTATCTGCCCTCAATGAGACCTAGGCCCAATGCAGACTCTAAAGGTTGCACAGTCTGCTCTCCATCTGTCCTCAATGAGACCTAGGCCCAATGCAGACTCTAAAGGTTGCACAGTCTGCTCTCTATTTCTCCTCAGTGAGACCCAGGCCCAATGCAGACTCTAAAGGTGGCACAGTCTGCTCTCTATCGGTCCTCAATGAGACCGAGGCTCTATGCAGACTCTAAAGGTTACACAGTGTGCTCTCTATCTGTCCTCAATGAGACCTAGACCCAATGCAGACTCTAAAGTTTGCGCAGTCTGCTCTCTATCTGTCCTCAATGAGACCTAGGGCCAGTGCAGACTCTAAAGTTGCATAGTCTGCTCTCTATCAGTCCTCAGTGAGACCTAGACCTAATGCAGACTCTAAAGTTTGCAAAGTCTGCTCTCTATCTCTCCTCAGTGAGACCTAGACCCAATGCAGACTCTAAAGTTTGCACAGTATGGTCTCTATATGCCCTCAATGAGACCTAGGCCCAGTGCAGACTCGAAAGGTTGCACAGTCTGCTCTCTATCTGTCCTCAATGAGACCTAGGCTCAATGCAGACTCTAAAGGTTGCACAGTCTGCCCTCTATCTGTCCTCAATGAGACCTAGGCCCAATGCAGACTCTAAAGTTTGCACAGTCTGGTCTCTATCTGTCCTCAATGAGACCTAGGCCCAATGCCGACTCTAGAGGTTGCACAGTGTGCTCTCTATCTGCTCTCAATGAGACCTAGGCCCAATGCAGACTCTAAAGGTTGCACAGTCTGCTCTCTAACTGCCCTCAATGAGACCTAGGCCCAATGCAGACTCTAAAGGTTGCACAGTCTGTTCTCTATCTGTCCTCAATGAGACCTAGGCCAAGTGCAGACTCTAAAGCTTGCACAGTCTGCTCTCTATCTGACCTCAATGAGACCTAGGCCCAATGCAGACTATAAAGGTTCTACAGTCTGCTCTCTATCTGTCCTCAATGAGACCTAGGCCCAATGCAGACTCTAAAGTTTGCGCACTCTGGTCTCTTTCTGTCCTCAATGAGACCTAGGCCAAATGCAGACTGTAAAGGTTGCACAGCCTGCTCTCTAACTGTCCTCAATGAGACATAGGCCCAATGCAGACTCTAAAGGTTGCACAGTCTGCTCTCTATGTGCTCTCAATGAGACCTAGGCCCAATGCAGACTCTAAAGGTTGCATAGTATGCTCTCTATCTGTCCTCAATGAGATCTAGGCCCAATGCAGACTCTAAGGGTTCCCGAGCCTGCTCTCTATCTGCCCTCAATGAGACCTAGGCCCAATGCAGACTCTAAAGGTTGCACAGTCTGCCCTCTATCTGTCCTCAATTAGACCTAGGCCCAATGCAGACTCTAAAGTTTTAACAGTCTGGTCTCTATCTGTCCTCAATGAGACCTAGGCCCAATGCCGACTCTAGAGGTTGCACAGTGTGCTCTCTATCTGCTGTCGATGAGACCTAGGCCCAATGCAGACTCTAAAGGTGGCACAGTCTGCTCTCTAACTGCCCTCAATGAGACCTAGACCCAATGCAGACTCTAAAGGTTGCACAGTCTGTTCTCTATCTGTCCTCAATGAGACCCAGGCCCAATGCAGACTCTAAAGGTTACACAGTCTCCTCTATATCTGTCCTCAATGAGACCTAGGCCCAGTGCAGACTCTAAAGTTTGCACAGTCTGCTCTCTGTCTGTCCTCAAAGAGACCTAGGCCCAGTGCAGACTCTAAAGGTTGCACAGTCTGCTCTCTATCTGTCCTCAATGAGACCTAGGCCCAATGCAGACTCTAAGGGTTGCACATTCTGCTCTCTATCTGCCCTCAATGAGACCTAGGCCCAATGCAAACACTAAAGGTTGCACAGTCTGGTCTCTATCTGTCCTCAATGAGACCTAGGCCCAATGCGGACTCTAAAGGTTGCACAGTGTGCTCTCCATCTGTCCTCAATGAGACCTAGGCCCAATGCAGACTCTAAAGGTTGCACAGTCTGCTCTCTATCTCTCCTCAATGAGACCTAGGCCCAATGCAAACTCTAAAGTTTGCACAGTCTGCTCTCTATCTGCCCTCAACGAGACCTAGGCCCAATGCAGACTCTAAAGGTTGCACAGTCTGCTCTCTATGTGTCCTCAATGAGACCTAGGCCAAGTGCAGACTCTAAAGGTTGCACAGTCTGCTCTCTATCTGCCCTCAATGAGACCTAGGCCCAATGTAGACTCTAAAGGTTGCACAGTCTGCTCTCTATCTACTCTCAATGAGACCTAGGCCCAATGCAGACTCTAAAGGTTGCGCAGTCTGGTCTCTATCTGTCCTGAATGAGGCCCAGGCCCAATGCAGACTGTAAAGGTTGCACAGTCTGCTCTCTATCTGTCCTCAATGAGACCTAGGCTCAGTCCAGCCTCTAAAGTTTGCATAGTCTGCTCTCTATCTGTCCTCAATGAGACCTAGGTCCAATGCAGACTCTAAAGGTTGCACAGTCTGCTTTCCATCTGTCCTCAATGAGACCTAGGCCCAATGCAGACTCTATAGGTTGCACAGTCTGCTCTCCATCTGTCCTCAATGAGACCTAGGCCCAATGCAGACTCTAAAGGTTGCACAGTCTGCTCTCTATTTGTCCTCAATGAGACCCAGGCCCAATGCAGACTCTAAAGGTGGCACAGTCTGCTCTCTATCGGTCCTCAATGAGACCGAGGCCCTATGCAGTCTCTAAAGGTTACACAGTGTGCTCTCTATCTCTCCTCAGTGAGACCTAGGCCCAATGCAGACTCTAAAGGTTGCACAGTATGGTCTCTATCTGCCCTCAATGAGACCTAGGCCCAGTGCAGACTCTAAAGGTTGCACAGTCTGCTCTCTATCGGTCCTCAATGAGACCTAGGCCCAATGCAGACTCTAAAGGTTGCACAGTCTGCCCTCTATCTGTCCTCAATGAGACCTAGGCCCAGTGCAGCCTCTAAAGGTTGCACAGTCTGCTCTCTATCTGTCCTCAATGAGACCCAGGCCCAATGCAGACTCTAAAGGTTGCACAGTCTGCTCTATATCTGTCCTCAATGAGACCTAGGACCAGTGCCGACTCTAATGGTTGCCTACTCTGCTCTCTATCTGTCCTCAATGAGACCTAGGCCCAATGCAGACTCTAAAGGTTTCACAGTCTGGTCTCTATCTGTCCTCAATGAGACCTAGGCCCAATGCCGACTCTAAAGGTTGCACTGTATGCTCTCTATCTTCTCTCAATGAGACCTAGGCCCAATGCAGACTCTAAAGGTTGCACAGTCTGCTCTCTATGTGCCCTCAATGAGACCTAGGCCCAATGCAGACTCTAAAGGTTGCACAGTCTGCTCTCCATCTGTCCTCAATGAGACCTAGGCCCAATGCAGACTCTAAAGGTTGCACAGTCTGCTCTCTATTTCTCCTCAATGAGACCCAGGCCCAATGCAGACTCTAAAGGTGGCACAGTCTGCTCTCTATCGGTCCTCAATGAGACCGAGGCCCTATGCAGACTCTAAAGGTTACACAGTGTGCTCTCTATCTGTCCTCAATGAGACCTAGGCCCAATGCAGACTCTAAAGTTTGCGCAGTCTGCTCTCTATCTGTCCTCAATGAGACCTAGGGCCAGTGCAGACTCTAAAGGTTGCATAATCTGCTCTCTATCAGTCCTCAGTGAGACCTAGACCTAATGCAGACTCTAAAGTTTGCAAAGTCTGCTCTCTATCTCTCCTCAGTGAGACCTAGACCCAATGCAGACTCTAAAGGTTGCACAGTATGGTCTCTATCTGCCCTCAATGAGACCTAGGCCCAGTGCAGACTCTAAAGGTTGCACAGTCTGCTCTCTATCTGACCTCAATGAGACCTAGGCCCAATGCAGACTCTAAAGGTTGCACAGTCTGCCCTGTATCTGTCCTCAATGAGACCTAGGCCCAATGCAGACTCTAAAGTTTGCACAGTCTGGTCTCTATCTGTCCTCAATGAGACCTAGGCCCAATGCCGACTCTAGAGGTTGCACAGTGTGCTCTCTATCTGCTCTCAATGAGACCTAGGCCCAATGCAGACTCTAAAGGTTGCACAGTCTGCTCTCTAACTGCCCTCAATGAGACCTAGGCCGAATGCAGACTCTAAAGGTTGCACAGTCTGTTCTCTATCTGTCCTCAATGAGACCTAGGCCAAGTGCAGACTCTAAAGCTTGCCCAGTCTGCTCCCTATCTGACCTCAATGAGACCTAGGCCCAATGCAGACTATAAAGGTTCTACAGTCTCCTCTCTATCTGTCCTCAATGAGACCCAGGCCCAATGCAGACTCTAAAGGTTGCACACTCTGGTCTCTTTCTGTACTCAATGAGACCTAGGCCAAATGCAGACTCTAAAGGTAGCACAGTCTGCTCTCTAACTGTCCTCAATGAGACATAGGCCTAATGCAGACTCTAAAGGTTGCACAGTCTGCTCTCTATGTTTCCTCAATGAGAACTAAGCCCAGTGCAGACTCTAAAGGTTGCATAGTATGCTCTCTATCTGTCCTCAATGAGATCTAGGCCCAATGCAGACTCTAAGGGTTGCCGAGCCTGCTCTCTGTCTGCCGTCAATGAGACCTAGGCCCAATGCAGACTCTAAAGGTTGCACAGTCCGCTCCCTATCTGTCCTCAATGAGACCTAGGCCCAATAGAGACTCTAAAGGTTGCACAGTCTGCTCTCTATCTGTCCTCAATGAGACCCAGGCCCAATGCAGACTCTAAACGTTGCATAGTCTGCTCTCTATCTGTCCGCAATTAGACCTAGGCCCAATGCAGACTCTAAACGTTGCACAGTCTGCTGTCTATCTGTCCGCAATTAGACCTAGGCCCAATGCAGACTCTAAAGGTTGCAGAGTCTGCTGTCTATCTGACCTCAAGGAGACCTAGGCCCAATGCAGACTCTAAAGGTTGCACAGTCTGGTCTCTATCTGTCCTCAATGACACCTAGGCCCAATGCGGACTCTAAAGGTTGCACAGTGTGCTCTCCATCTGTCCTCAATGAGACCTAGGCCCAATGCAGACTCTAAAGGTTGCACAGTCTGCTCTCTATCTCTCCTCAATGAGACCTAGGCTCAATGCAGACTCTAAAGGTTGCACAGTCTGCTCTCTATCTGCTCTCAATGAGACCTAGGCCCAATGCAGACTCTAAAGGTTGCACAGTCTGGTCTCTATCTGCCCTCAATGAGACCTAGGCCCAATGCAGACTCTAAAGGTTGCACACTCTGCTCTCTATCTGCTCTCAATGAGACCTAGGCCCAATGCAGACTCTAAAGGTTGCACAGTCTGCTCTCCATCTCTCCTCAATGAGACCTAGGCCCAATGCAGACTCTAAAGGTTGCACAGTCTGCTCTCTATTTGTCCTCAATGAGACCCAGGCCCAATGCAGACTCTAAAGGTTGCACAGTCTGCTCTCTATCGGTCCTCATAGAGACCGAGGCCCTATGCAGACTCTAAAGGTTACACAGTGTGCTCTCTATCTGTCCTCAATGAGACCTAGGCCCAATGCAGACTCTAAAGTTTGCGCAGTCTGCTCTGTATCTGTCCTCAATGAGACCTAGTGCCAGTGCAGACTCTAAAGGTTGCATAGTCTGCTCTCTATCAGTCCTCAGTGAGACCTAGACCCAATGCAGACTCTAAAGTTTGCAAAGTCTGCTCTCTATCTCTCCTCAGTGAGACCTAGACCCAATGCAGATTCTAAAGGTTGCACAGTATGGTCTCTATCTGCCCTCAATGAGACCTAGGCCCAGTGCAGACTCTAAAGGTTGCACAGTCTGCTCTCTATCTGTCCTCAATGAGACCTAGGCCCAATGCAGACTCTAAAGGTTGCACAGTCTGCCCTCTATCTGTCCTCAATGAGACCTAGGCCCAGTGCAGACTCTAAAGGTTGCACAGTCTGGTCTCTATCTGTCCTCAATGAGACCCAGGCCCAATGCAGACTCTAAAGGTTGCACAGTCTGCACTATATCTGTCCTCAATTAGACCTAGGACCAGTGTCGACTCTAATGGTTGCCTAGTCTGCTCTCTATCTGTCCTCAATGAGACCCATGCACAATGCAGACTCTAAAGGTTGCACAGTCTGCTCTATATCTGTCCTCAATGAGACCTAGGACCAGTGTCGACTCTAATGGTTGCATAGTCTGCTCTCTATCTGTCCTCAATGAGACCTAGGCCCAATGCAGACTCTAAAGGTTGCACAGTCTGGTCTCTATCTGTCCTCAATGAGACCTAGGCCCAATGCCGACTCTAAAGGTTGCACAGTATGCTCTCTATCTGCTCTCAATGAGACCTAGGCCCAATGCAGACTCTAAAGGTTGCACAGTCTGCTCTCTATCTGCCCTCAATGAGACCTAGGCCCAATGCAGACTCTAAAGGTTGCACAGTCTGCTCTCCATCTGTCCTCAATGAGACCTAGGCCCAATGCAGACTCTAAAGGTTGCACAGTCTGCTCTCTATTTCTCCTCAGTGAGACCCAGGCCCAATGCAGACTCTAAAGGTGGCACAGTCTGCTCTCTATCGGTCCTCAATGAGACCGAGGCTCTATGCAGACTCTAAAGGTTACACAGTGTGCTCTCTATCTGTCCTCAATGAGACCTAGACCCAATGCAGACTCTAAAGTTTGCGCAGTCTGCTCTCTATCTGTCCTCAATGAGACCTAGGGCCAGTGCAGACTCTAAAGTTGCATAGTCTGCTCTCTATCAGTCCTCAGTGAGACCTAGACCTAATGCAGACTCTAAAGTTTGCAAAGTCTGCTCTCTATCTCTCCTCAGTGAGACCTAGACCCAATGCAGACTCTAAAGTTTGCACAGTATGGTCTCTATATGCCCTCAATGAGACCTAGGCCCAGTGCAGACTCGAAAGGTTGCACAGTCTGCTCTCTATCTGTCCTCAATGAGACCTAGGCTCAATGCAGACTCTAAAGGTTGCACAGTCTGCCCTCTATCTGTCCTCAATGAGACCTAGGCCCAATGCAGACTCTAAAGTTTGCACAGTCTGGTCTCTATCTGTCCTCAATGAGACCTAGGCCCAATGCCGACTCTAGAGGTTGCACAGTGTGCTCTCTATCTGCTCTCAATGAGACCTAGGCCCAATGCAGACTCTAAAGGTTGCACAGTCTGCTCTCTAACTGCCCTCAATGAGACCTAGGCCCAATGCAGACTCTAAAGGTTGCACAGTCTGTTCTCTATCTGTCCTCAATGAGACCTAGGCCAAGTGCAGACTCTAAAGCTTGCACAGTCTGCTCTCTATCTGACCTCAATGAGACCTAGGCCCAATGCAGACTATAAAGGTTCTACAGTCTGCTCTCTATCTGTCCTCAATGAGACCTAGGCCCAATGCAGACTCTAAAGTTTGCGCACTCTGGTCTCTTTCTGTCCTCAATGAGACCTAGGCCAAATGCAGACTGTAAAGGTTGCACAGCCTGCTCTCTAACTGTCCTCAATGAGACATAGGCCCAATGCAGACTCTAAAGGTTGCACAGTCTGCTCTCTATGTGCTCTCAATGAGACCTAGGCCCAATGCAGACTCTAAAGGTTGCATAGTATGCTCTCTATCTGTCCTCAATGAGATCTAGGCCCAATGCAGACTCTAAGGGTTCCCGAGCCTGCTCTCTATCTGCCCTCAATGAGACCTAGGCCCAATGCAGACTCTAAAGGTTGCACAGTCTGCCCTCTATCTGTCCTCAATTAGACCTAGGCCCAATGCAGACTCTAAAGTTTTAACAGTCTGGTCTCTATCTGTCCTCAATGAGACCTAGGCCCAATGCCGACTCTAGAGGTTGCACAGTGTGCTCTCTATCTGCTGTCGATGAGACCTAGGCCCAATGCAGACTCTAAAGGTGGCACAGTCTGCTCTCTAACTGCCCTCAATGAGACCTAGACCCAATGCAGACTCTAAAGGTTGCACAGTCTGTTCTCTATCTGTCCTCAATGAGACCCAGGCCCAATGCAGACTCTAAAGGTTACACAGTCTCCTCTATATCTGTCCTCAATGAGACTTAGGACCAGTGCCGACTCTAATGGTTGCCTAGTCTGCTCTTTATCTGTCCTCAATGAGACCTAGGCCCAATGCAGACTCTAAAGGTTGCACAGTCCGGTCTCTATCTGTCCTCAATGAGACCTAGGCCCAATGCCGACTCTAAAGTTTGCACAGTGTGCTCTCTATCTGCTCTCAATGAGACCTAGGCCTAATGCAGACTCTAAAGGTAGCACAGTCTGCTCTCTAACTGCCCTCAATGACACCTAGGCCCAATGCAGACTCTAAACGTTGCATAGTCTGGTCTCTATCTGCCCTCAATAAGACCTAGGCCCAATGCAGACTCTAAAGGTTGCACAGTCTGCTCTCTATCTGTCCTCAATGAGACCTAGGCCAAGTGCAGACTCTAAAGCTTGCACAGTCTGCTCTCTATCTGACCTCAATGAGACCTAGGCCCAATGCAGACTATAAAGGTTCTACAGTCTGCTCTCTATCTGTCCTCAATGAGACCTAGGCCCAATGCAGACTCTAAAGGTTGCACAGTCTGCTCTCTAACTGTCCTCATTGAGACATAGGCCCAATGCAGACTCTAAAGGTTCCACAGTCTGCTCTCTATGTGTCCTCAATGAGACCTAGGCCCAGTGCAGACTCTAAAGGTTGCATAGTATGCTCTCTATCTGTCCTCAATGAGATCTAAGCCCAACGCAGACTCTAAGGGTTGCCGAGCCTGCTCTCTATCTGCCCTCAATGAGACCTAGGCCCAATGCAGACTCTAAAGGTTGCACAGTCTGCTCTCTATCTGTCCTCAATGAGACCTAGGCCCAATAGAGACTCTAAAGGTTGCACAGTCTGCTCTCTATCTGTCCTCAATGAGACCCAGGCCCAATGCAGACTGTAAACTTTGCATAGTCTGCTCTCCATCTGTCCGCAATTAGACCTAGACCCAATGCAGACTCTAAAGGTTGCACAGTCTGCTGCCTATCTGACCTCAAGGAGACCTAGGCCCAATGCAGACTCTAAAGGTTGCACAGTCTGGTCTCTATCTGTCCTCAATGACACCTAGGCCCAGTGCAGACTCTAAAGTTTGCACAGTCTGCTCTCTGTCTGTCCTCAAAGAGACCTAGGCCCAGTGCAGACTATAAAGGTTGCACAGTCTGCTCTCTATCTGTCCTCAATGAGACCTAGGCCCAATGTAGACTCTAAAGGTGGCACAGTCTGCTCTCTATCTGCCCTCAATGAGACCTAGGCCCAATGCAAACTCTAAAGGTTGCACAGTCTGGTCTCTATCTGCCCTCAATGAGACATAGACCCAATGCAGACTCTAAAGGTTGCACAGTCTGCTCTCCATCTGTCCTCAATGAGACCTAGGCCCAATGCAGACTCTAAAGGTTGCACAGTCTGCTCTCTATTTCTCCTCCATGAGACCCAGGCCCAATGCAGACTCTAAAGGTGGCACAGTCTGCTCTCTATCGGTCCTCAATGAGACCGAGGCCCTACGCAGACTCTAAAGGTTACACAGTGTGCTCTCTATCTGTCCTCAGTGAGACCTAGGCCCAATGCAAACTCTAAAGTTTGCGCAGTCTGCTCTCTATGTGTCCTCAATGAGACCTAGGGCCAGTGCAGACTCTAAAGGTTGCATAGTCTGCTCTCTATCAGTCCTCAGTGAGACGTAGACCTAATGTAGACTCTAAAGTTTGCAAAGTCTGCTCTCTATCTCTCCTCAGTGAGACCTAGACCCAATGCAGACTCTAAAGGTTGCACAGTATGGTCTCTATCTGCCCTCAATGAGACCTAGGCCCAGTGCAGACTCTAAAGGTTTCACAGTCTGCTCTCTATCTGTCCTCAATGAGACCTAGGCCCAATGCAGACTCTAAACGTTGCACAGTCTGCCCTCTATCTGTCCTCAATGAGACCTAGGCCCAATGCAGACTCTAAAGTTTGCACAGTCTGGTCTCTATCTGTCCTCAATGAGACCTAGGCCCAATGCCGACTCTAGAGGTTGCACAGTGTGCTCTCTATCTGCTCTCAATGAGACCTAGGCCCAATGCAGACTCTAAAGGTTGCACAGTCTGCTCTCTAACTGCCCTCAATGAGACCTAGGCCCAATGCAGACTCTAAAGTTTGCACAGTCTGTTCTCTATCTGTCCTCAATGAGACCTAGGCCAAGTGTAGACTCTAAAGCTTGCACAGTCTGCTCTCTATCTGACCTCAATGAGACCTAGGCCCAATGCAGACTATAAAGGTTCTACAGTCTGCTCTCTATCTGTCCTCAATGAGACCTAGGCCCAATGCAAACTCTAAAGGTTGCACACTCTGGTCTCTTTCTGTCCTCAATGAGACCTAGGCCAAATGCAGACTCTAAAGGTTGCACAGTCTGCTCTCTAACTGTCCTCAATGAGACATAGGCCCAATGCAGACTCTAAAGGTTGCACAGTCTGCTCTCTATGTGTCCTCAATGAGACCTAGGCCCAGTGCAGACTCTCAAGGTTGCATAGTATGCTCTCTATCTGTCCTCAATAAGATCTAGGCCCAATGCAGACTCTAAGGGTTGCCGAGCCTGCTCTCTATCTGCCCTCAATGAGACCTAGGCCCAATGCAGACTCTAAAGGTTGCACAGTCCGCTCCCTATCTGTCCTCAATGAGATCTAGGCCCAATAGAGACTCTAAAGGTTGCACAGTCTGCTCTCTATCTGTCCTCAATGAGACCGAGGCTCTATGCAGACTCTAAAGGTTACACAGTGTGCTCTCTATCTGTCCTCAGTGAGACCTAGGCCCAATGCAGACTCTAAAGTTTGCGCAGTCTGCTCTCTATCTGTCCTCAATGAGACCTAGGGCCAGTGCAGACTCTAAAGGTTGCATAGTCTGCTCCTATCAGTCCTCAGTGAGACCTAGACCCAATGGAGACTCTAAAGTTTGCAAAGTCTGCTCTCTATCTCGCCTCAGTGAGACCTAGACCCAATGCAGACTCTAAAGGTTGCACAGTCTGGTCTCTATCTGCCCTCAATGAGACCTAGGCTCAGTGCAGACTTTAAAGTTTGCACAGTCTGCTCCGTATCTGTCCTCAATGAGACCTAGGTCCATTGCAGACTCTAAAGGTTGCACAGTCTGCCCTCTATCTGTCCTCAATGAGACCTAGGCCCAATGCAGCCTCTAAAGTTTCAACAGTCTGGTCTCTATCTGTCCTCAATGAGACCTAGGCCCAATGCCGACTCTAGAGGTTGCACAGTGTGCTCTCTATCTGCTCTCAATGAGACCTAGGCCCAATGCAGACTCTAAAGGTTGCACAGTCTGCTCTCTAACTGCCCTCAATGAGACCTAAGCCCAATGCAGACTCTAAAGGTTGTACAGTCTGGTCGCTATCTGTCCTCAATGAGACCCAGGCCCAATGCAGACTCTAAAGGTTGCACAGTCTGCTCTATATCTGTCCTCAATGAGACCTAGGACCAGTGCGGACTCTAATGGTTGCCTAGTGTGCTCTCTATCTGTCCTCAATGAGACCTAGGCCCAATGCAGACTCTAAAGGTTGCACAGTCCGGTCTCTATCTGTCCTCAATGAGACCTAGGCCCAATGCCGACTCTAAAGTTTGCACAGTGTGCTCTCTATCTGCTCTCAATGAGACCTAGGCCCAATGCAGATTCTAAAGGTTGCACAGTCTGCTCTCTAACTGCCCTCAATGACACCTAGGCCCAATGCAGACTCTAAACGTTGCATAGTCTGGTCTCTATCTGCCCTCAATGAGACCTAGGCCCAATGCAGACTCTAAAGTTTGCACAGTCTGCTCTCTATCTGTCCTCAATGAGACCTAGGCCAAGTGCAGACTCTAAAGCTTGCACAGTCTGCTCTCTATCTGACCTCAATGAGACCTAGGCCCAATGCAGACTATGAAGGTTCTACAGTCTGCTCTCTATCTGTCCTCAATGAGACCGAGTCCCAATGCCGACTCTAAAGGTTGCACACTCTGGTCTCTTTTTGTCCTCAATGAGACGTAGGCCAAATGCAGACTCTAAAGTTTGCACAGTCTGCTCTCTAACTGTCCTCAATGAGACATAGGCCCAATGCAGACTCTAAAGGTTGCACAGTCTGCTCTCTATGTGTCCTCAATGAGACCTAGGCCCAGTGCAGACTCTAAAGTTTGCACAGTCTGCTCTCTGTCTGTCCTCAAAGAGACCTAGGCCCAGTGCAGACTCTAAAGGTTGCACAGTCTGCTCTCTATCTGTCCTCAATGAGACCTAGGCCCAATGCAGACTCTAAGGGTTGCACATTCTGCTCTCTATCTGCCCTCAATGAGACCTAGGCCCAATGCAAACACTAAAGGTTGCACAGTCTGGTCTCTATCTGTCCTCAATGAGACCTAGGCCCAATGCGGACTCTAAAGGTTGCACAGTGTGCTCTCCATCTGTCCTCAATGAGACCTAGGCCCAATGCAGACTCTAAAGGTTGCACAGTCTGCTCTCTATCTCTCCTCAATGAGACCTAGGCCCAATGCAAACTCTAAAGTTTGCACAGTCTGCTCTCTATCTGCCCTCAATGAGACCTAGGCCCAATGCAGACTCTAAAGGTTGCACAGTCTGCTCTCTATGTGTCCTCAATGAGACCTAGGCCAAGTGCAGACTCTAAAGGTTGCACAGTCTGCTCTCCATCTGCCCTCAATGAGACCTAGGCCCAATGTAGACTCTAAAGGTTGCACAGTCTGCTCTCTATCTACTCTCAATGAGACCTAGGCCCAATGCAGACTCTAAAGGTTGCGCAGTCTGGTCTCTATCTGTCCTGAATGAGGCCCAGGCCCAATGCAGACTGTAAAGGTTGCACAGTCTGCTCTCTATCTGTCCTCAATGAGACCTAGGCTCAGTCCAGCCTCTAAAGTTTGCATAGTCTGCTCTCTATCTGTCCTCAATGAGACCTAGGTCCAATGCAGACTCTAAAGGTTGCACAGTCTGCTTTCCATCTGTCCTCAATGAGACCTAGGCCCAATGCAGACTCTATAGGTTGCACAGTCTGCTCTCCATCTGTCCTCAATGAGACCTAGGCCCAATGCAGACTCTAAAGGTTGCACAGTCTGCTCTCTATTTGTCCTCAATGAGACCCAGGCCCAATGCAGACTCTAAAGGTGGCACAGTCTGCTCTCTATCGGTCCTCAATGAGACCGAGGCCCTATGCAGTCTCTAAAGGTTACACAGTGTGCTCTCTATCTCTCCTCAGTGAGACCTAGGCCCAATGCAGACTCTAAAGGTTGCACAGTATGGTCTCTATCTGCCCTCAATGAGACCTAGGCCCAGTGCAGACTCTAAAGGTTGCACAGTCTGCTCTCTATCGGTCCTCAATGAGACCTAGGCCCAATGCAGACTCTAAAGGTTGCACAGTCTGCCCTCTATCTGTCCTCAATGAGACCTAGGCCCAGTGCAGCCTCTAAAGGTTGCACAGTCTGCTCTCTATCTGTCCTCAATGAGACCCAGGCCCAATGCAGACTCTAAAGGTTGCACAGTCTGCTCTATATCTGTCCTCAATGAGACCTAGGACCAGTGCCGACTCTAATGGTTGCCTACTCTGCTCTCTATCTGTCCTCAATGAGACCTAGGCCCAATGCAGACTCTAAAGGTTTCACAGTCTGGTCTCTATCTGTCCTCAATGAGACCTAGGCCCAATGCCGACTCTAAAGGTTGCACTGTATGCTCTCTATCTTCTCTCAATGAGACCTAGGCCCAATGCAGACTCTAAAGGTTGCACAGTCTGCTCTCTATGTGCCCTCAATGAGACCTAGGCCCAATGCCGACTCTAAAGGTTGCACTGTATGCTCTCTATCTTCTCTCAATGAGACCTAGGCCCAATGCAGACTCTAAAGGTTGCACAGTCTGCTCTCTATGTGCCCTCAATGAGACCTAGGCCCAATGCAGACTCTAAAGGTTGCACAGTCTGCTCTCCATCTGTCCTCAATGAGACCTAGGCCCAATGCAGACTCTAAAGTTTGCACAGTCTGGTCTCTATCTGTCCTCAATGAGACCTAGGCCCAATGCCGACTCTAGAGGTTGCACAGTGTGCTCTCTATCTGCTCTCAATGAGACCTAGGCCCAATGCAGACTCTAAAGGTTGCACAGTCTGCTCTCTAACTGCCCTCAATGAGACCTAGGCCCAATGCAGACTCTAAAGGTTGCACAGTCTGTTCTCTATCTGTCCTCAATGAGACCTAGGCCAAGTGCAGACTCTAAAGCTTGCCCAGTCTGCTCCCTATCTGACCTCAATGAGACCTAGGCCCAATGCAGACTATAAAGGTTCTACAGTCTCCTCTCTATCTGTCCTCAATGAGACCCAGGCCCAATGCAGACTCTAAAGGTTGCACACTCTGGTCTCTTTCTGTACTCAATGAGACCTAGGCCAAATGCAGACTCTAAAGGTAGCACAGTCTGCTCTCTAACTGTCCTCAATGAGACATAGGCCTAATGCAGACTCTAAAGGTTGCACAGTCTGCTCTCTATGTTTCCTCAATGAGAACTAAGCCCAGTGCAGACTCTAAAGGTTGCATAGTATGCTCTCTATCTGTCCTCAATGAGATCTAGGCCCAATGCAGACTCTAAGGGTTGCCGAGCCTGCTCTCTGTCTGCCGTCAATGAGACCTAGGCCCAATGCAGACTCTAAAGGTTGCACAGTCCGCTCCCTATCTGTCCTCAATGAGACCTAGGCCCAATAGAGACTCTAAAGGTTGCACAGTCTGCTCTCTATCTGTCCTCAATGAGACCCAGGCCCAATGCAGACTCTAAACGTTGCATAGTCTGCTCTCTATCTGTCCGCAATTAGACCTAGGCCCAATGCAGACTCTAAACGTTGCACAGTCTGCTGTCTATCTGTCCGCAATTAGACCTAGGCCCAATGCAGACTCTAAAGGTTGCAGAGTCTGCTGTCTATCTGACCTCAAGGAGACCTAGGCCCAATGCAGACTCTAAAGGTTGCACAGTCTGGTCTCTATCTGTCCTCAATGACACCTAGGCCCAATGCGGACTCTAAAGGTTGCACAGTGTGCTCTCCATCTGTCCTCAATGAGACCTAGGCCCAATGCAGACTCTAAAGGTTGCACAGTCTGCTCTCTATCTGCTCTCAATGAGACCTAGGCCCAATGCAGACTCTAAAGGTTGCACAGTCTGGTCTCTATCTGCCCTCAATGAGACCTAGGCCCAATGCAGACTCTAAAGGTTGCACACTCTGCTCTCTATCTGCTCTCAATGAGACCTAGGCCCAATGCAGACTCTAAAGGTTGCACAGTCTGCTCTCCATCTCTCCTCAATGAGACCTAGGCCCAATGCAGACTCTAAAGGTTGCACAGTCTGCTCTCTATTTGTCCTCAATGAGACCCAGGCCCAATGCAGACTCTAAAGGTTGCACAGTCTGCTCTCTATCGGTCCTCATAGAGACCGAGGCCCTATGCAGACTCTAAAGGTTACACAGTGTGCTCTCTATCTGTCCTCAATGAGACCTAGGCCCAATGCAGACTCTAAAGTTTGCGCAGTCTGCTCTGTATCTGTCCTCAATGAGACCTAGTGCCAGTGCAGACTCTAAAGGTTGCATAGTCTGCTCTCTATCAGTCCTCAGTGAGACCTAGACCCAATGCAGACTCTAAAGTTTGCAAAGTCTGCTCTCTATCTCTCCTCAGTGAGACCTAGACCCAATGCAGATTCTAAAGGTTGCACAGTATGGTCTCTATCTGCCCTCAATGAGACCTAGGCCCAGTGCAGACTCTAAAGGTTGCACAGTCTGCTCTCTATCTGTCCTCAATGAGACCTAGGCCCAATGCAGACTCTAAAGGTTGCACAGTCTGCCCTCTATCTGTCCTCAATGAGACCTAGGCCCAGTGCAGACTCTAAAGGTTGCACAGTCTGGTCTCTATCTGTCCTCAATAAGACCCAGGCCCAATGCAGACTCTAAAGGTTGCACAGTCTGCACTATATCTGTCCTCAATTAGACCTAGGACCAGTGTCGACTCTAATGGTTGCCTAGTCTGCTCTCTATCTGTCCTCAATGAGACCCAGGCACAATGCAGACTCTAAAGGTTGCACAGTCTGCTCTATATCTGTCCTCAATGAGACCTAGGACCAGTGTCGACTCTAATGGTTGCATAGTCTGCTCTCTATCTGTCCTCAATGAGACCTAGGCCCAATGCAGACTCTAAAGGTTGCACAGTCTGGTCTCTATCTGTCCTCAATGAGACCTAGGCCCAATGCCGACTCTAAAGGTTGCACAGTATGCTCTCTATCTGCTCTCAATGAGACCTAGGCCCAATGCAGACTCTAAAGGTTGCACAGTCTGCTCTCTATCTGCCCTCAATGAGACCTAGGCCCAATGCAGACTCTAAAGGTTGCACAGTCTGCTCTCCATCTGTCCTCAATGAGACCTAGGCCCAATGCAGACTCTAAAGGTTGCACAGTCTGCTCTCTATTTCTCCTCAGTGAGACCCAGGCCCAATGCAGACTCTAAAGGTGGCACAGTCTGCTCTCTATCGGTCCTCAATGAGACCGAGGCTCTATGCAGACTCTAAAGGTTACACAGTGTGCTCTCTATCTGTCCTCAATGAGACCTAGACCCAATGCAGACTCTAAAGTTTGCGCAGTCTGCTCTCTATCTGTCCTCAATGAGACCTAGGGCCAGTGCAGACTCTAAAGTTGCATAGTCTGCTCTCTATCAGTCCTCAGTGAGACCTAGACCTAATGCAGACTCTAAAGTTTGCAAAGTCTGCTCTCTATCTCTCCTCAGTGAGACCTAGACCCAATGCAGACTCTAAAGTTTGCACAGTATGGTCTCTATATGCCCTCAATGAGACCTAGGCCCAGTGCAGACTCGAAAGGTTGCACAGTCTGCTCTCTATCTGTCCTCAATGAGACCTAGGCTCAATGCAGACTCTAAAGGTTGCACAGTCTGCCCTCTATCTGTCCTCAATGAGACCTAGGCCCAATGCAGACTCTAAAGTTTGCACAGTCTGGTCTCTATCTGTCCTCAATGAGACCTAGGCCCAATGCCGACTCTAGAGGTTGCACAGTGTGCTCTCTATCTGCTCTCAATGAGACCTAGGCCCAATGCAGACTCTAAAGGTTGCACAGTCTGCTCTCTAACTGCCCTCAATGAGACCTAGGCCCAATGCAGACTCTAAAGGTTGCACAGTCTGTTCTCTATCTGTCCTCAATGAGACCTAGGCCAAGTGCAGACTCTAAAGCTTGCACAGTCTGCTCTCTATCTGACCTCAATGAGACCTAGGCCCAATGCAGACTATAAAGGTTCTACAGTCTGCTCTCTATCTGTCCTCAATGAGACCTAGGCCCAATGCAGACTCTAAAGTTTGCGCACTCTGGTCTCTTTCTGTCCTCAATGAGACCTAGGCCAAATGCAGACTGTAAAGGTTGCACAGCCTGCTCTCTAACTGTCCTCAATGAGACATAGGCCCAATGCAGACTCTAAAGGTTGCACAGTCTGCTCTCTATGTGTCCTCAATGAGACCTAGGCCCAGTGCAGACTCTAAAGGTTGCATAGTATGCTCTCTATCTGTCCTCAATGAGATCTAGGCCCAATGCAGACTCTAAGGGTTCCCGAGCCTGCTCTCTATCTGCCCTCAATGAGACCTAGGCCCAATGCAGACTCTAAAGGTTGCACAGTCCTCTCCCTATCTGTCCTCAATGAGACCTAGGCCCAATAGAGACTCTAAAGGTTGCACAGTCTGCTCTCTATCTGTCCTCAATGAGACCCAGGCCCAATGCAGACTCTAAACGTTGCATAGTCTGCTCTCTATCTGTCCGCAATTAGACCTAGGCCCAATGCAGACTCTAAACGTTGCACAGTCTGCTGTCTATCTGTCCGCAATTAGACCTAGGCCCAATGCAGACTCTAAAGGTTGCAGATTCTGCTGTCTATCTGACCTCAAGGAGACCTAGGCCCAATGCAGACTCTAAAGGTTGCACAGTCTGGTCTCTATCTGTCCTCAATGACACCTAGGCCCAGTGCAGACTCTAAAGTTTGCACAGTCTGCTCTCTGTCTGTCCTCAAAGAGACCTAGGCCCAGTGCAGACTCTAAAGGTTGCACAGTCTCCTCTCTATCTGTCCTCACTGATACCTAGGCCCAATGCAGACTCTAAAGGTTGCACAGTCTGTTCTCTATTTGTCCTCAATGAGACCCAGGCCCAATGCAGAGTCTAAAGGTTGCACAGTCTGCTCTCTATCGGTCCTCAATGAGACCTAGGCCCAATGCAGACTCTAAAGGTTGCACAGTCTGCTCTCTATCTGCCCTCAATGAGACCTAGGCCCAATGCAAACTCTAAAGGTTGCACAGTCTGGTCTCTATCTGTCCTCAATGAGACCTAGGCCCAATGCGGACTCTAAAGGTTGCACAGTGTGCTCTCCATCTGTCCTCAATGAGACCTAGGCCAAATGCAGACTCTAAAGGTTGCACAGTCTGCTCTCTATGTGTCCTCAATCAGACCTAGGCCCAGTGCAGACTCTAAAGTTTGCACAGTCTGCTCTCTATCGGCCCTCAATGAGACCTAGGCCCAATGCAGACTGTAAAGGTTGCACAGTCTGCTCTCTATCTGCTCTCAAGAGACCTAGGCCCAATGCAAACTCTAAAGGTTGCACATTCTGGTCTCTATCTCTCCTGAATGAGACCCAGGCCCAATGCAGACTGTAAAGGTTGCACAGTCTGCTCTCTATCTGTCCTCAATGAGACCTAGGCCCAGTGCAGACTGTAAAGTTTGCATAGTCTGCTCTCTATCTGTCCTCAGTGAGACCTAGGTCCAATGCAGACTCTAAATGTTGCACAGTCTGCTCTCTATCTGTCCTCGATGAGACCTAGCCCTAGTGCAGACTCTAAAGGTTGCACAGTCTGCTCTCTATCTGCCCTCAATGAGACCTAGGCCCAATGCAGACTCTAAAGGTTGCACAGTCTGCTCTCTATTTTTCCTCAATGAGACCCAGGCCCAATGCAGACTCTAAAGGTTGCACAGTCTGCTCTCTATCGGTCCTCAATGAGACCGAGGCCCTATGCAAACTCTAAAGGTTACACAGTGTGCTCTCTATCTGTCCTCAGTGAGACCTAGGCCCAATGCAGACTCTAAAGTTTGCGCAGTCTGCTCTCTATCTGTCCTCAATGAGACCTAGGGCCAGGCAGACTCTAAAGTTGCATAGTCTGCTCTCTATCAGTCCTCAGTGAGACCTAGACCTAATGCAGACTCTGAAGTTTGCAAAGTCTGCTCTCTATCTCTCCTCAGTGAGACCTAGACCCAATGCAGACTCTAAAGTTTGCACAGTATGGTCTCTATATGCCCTCAATGAGACCTAGGCCCAGTGCAGACTCTAAAGTTTGCAAAGTCTGCTCTCTATCTGTCCTCAATGAGACCTAGGCCCAATGCAGACTCTAAAGGTTGCACAGTCTGCCCTCTATCTGTCCTCAATGAGACCTAGGCCCAATGCAGACTCTAAAGGTTGCACAGTCTGGTCTCTATCTGCCCTCAATGAGACCTAGGCCCAATGCAGACTCTAAAGGTTGCACACTCTGCTCTCTATCTGCTCTCAATGAGACCTAGGCCCAATGCAGACTCTAAAGGTTGCACAGTCTGCTCTCCATCTCTCCTCAATGAGACCTAGGCCCAATGCAGACTCTAAAGGTTGCACAGTCTGCTCTCTATTTGTCCTCAATGAGACCCAGGCCCAATGCAGACTCTAAAGGTTGCACAGTCTGCTCTCTATCGGTCCTCATAGAGACCGAGGCCCTATGCAGACTCTAAAGGTTACACAGTGTGCTCTCTATCTGTCCTCAATGAGACCTAGGCCCAATGCAGACTCTAAAGTTTGCGCAGTCTGCTCTGTATCTGTCCTCAATGAGACCTAGTGCCAGTGCAGACTCTAAAGGTTGCATAGTCTGCTCTCTATCAGTCCTCAGTGAGACCTAGACCCAATGCAGACTCTAAAGTTTGCAAAGTCTGCTCTCTATCTCTCCTCAGTGAGACCTAGACCCAATGCAGATTCTAAAGGTTGCACAGTATGGTCTCTATCTGCCCTCAATGAGACCTAGGCCCAGTGCAGACTCTAAAGGTTGCACAGTCTGCTCTCTATCTGTCCTCAATGAGACCTAGGCCCAATGCAGACTCTAAAGGTTGCACAGTCTGCCCTCTATCTGTCCTCAATGAGACCTAGGCCCAGTGCAGACTCTAAAGGTTGCACAGTCTGGTCTCTATCTGTCCTCAATAAGACCCAGGCCCAATGCAGACTCTAAAGGTTGCACAGTCTGCACTATATCTGTCCTCAATTAGACCTAGGACCAGTGTCGACTCTAATGGTTGCCTAGTCTGCTCTCTATCTGTCCTCAATGAGACCCAGGCACAATGCAGACTCTAAAGGTTGCACAGTCTGCTCTATATCTGTCCTCAATGAGACCTAGGACCAGTGTCGACTCTAATGGTTGCATAGTCTGCTCTCTATCTGTCCTCAATGAGACCTAGGCCCAATGCAGACTCTAAAGGTTGCACAGTCTGGTCTCTATCTGTCCTCAATGAGACCTAGGCCCAATGCCGACTCTAAAGGTTGCACAGTATGCTCTCTATCTGCTCTCAATGAGACCTAGGCCCAATGCAGACTCTAAAGGTTGCACAGTCTGCTCTCTATCTGCCCTCAATGAGACCTAGGCCCAATGCAGACTCTAAAGGTTGCACAGTCTGCTCTCCATCTGTCCTCAATGAGACCTAGGCCCAATGCAGACTCTAAAGGTTGCACAGTCTGCTCTCTATTTCTCCTCAGTGAGACCCAGGCCCAATGCAGACTCTAAAGGTGGCACAGTCTGCTCTCTATCGGTCCTCAATGAGACCGAGGCTCTATGCAGACTCTAAAGGTTACACAGTGTGCTCTCTATCTGTCCTCAATGAGACCTAGACCCAATGCAGACTCTAAAGTTTGCGCAGTCTGCTCTCTATCTGTCCTCAATGAGACCTAGGGCCAGTGCAGACTCTAAAGTTGCATAGTCTGCTCTCTATCAGTCCTCAGTGAGACCTAGACCTAATGCAGACTCTAAAGTTTGCAAAGTCTGCTCTCTATCTCTCCTCAGTGAGACCTAGACCCAATGCAGACTCTAAAGTTTGCACAGTATGGTCTCTATATGCCCTCAATGAGACCTAGGCCCAGTGCAGACTCGAAAGGTTGCACAGTCTGCTCTCTATCTGTCCTCAATGAGACCTAGGCTCAATGCAGACTCTAAAGGTTGCACAGTCTGCCCTCTATCTGTCCTCAATGAGACCTAGGCCCAATGCAGACTCTAAAGTTTGCACAGTCTGGTCTCTATCTGTCCTCAATGAGACCTAGGCCCAATGCCGACTCTAGAGGTTGCACAGTGTGCTCTCTATCTGCTCTCAATGAGACCTAGGCCCAATGCAGACTCTAAAGGTTGCACAGTCTGCTCTCTAACTGCCCTCAATGAGACCTAGGCCCAATGCAGACTCTAAAGGTTGCACAGTCTGTTCTCTATCTGTCCTCAATGAGACCTAGGCCAAGTGCAGACTCTAAAGCTTGCACAGTCTGCTCTCTATCTGACCTCAATGAGACCTAGGCCCAATGCAGACTATAAAGGTTCTACAGTCTGCTCTCTATCTGTCCTCAATGAGACCTAGGCCCAATGCAGACTCTAAAGTTTGCGCACTCTGGTCTCTTTCTGTCCTCAATGAGACCTAGGCCAAATGCAGACTGTAAAGGTTGCACAGCCTGCTCTCTAACTGTCCTCAATGAGACATAGGCCCAATGCAGACTCTAAAGGTTGCACAGTCTGCTCTCTATGTGTCCTCAATGAGACCTAGGCCCAGTGCAGACTCTAAAGGTTGCATAGTATGCTCTCTATCTGTCCTCAATGAGATCTAGGCCCAATGCAGACTCTAAGGGTTCCCGAGCCTGCTCTCTATCTGCCCTCAATGAGACCTAGGCCCAATGCAGACTCTAAAGGTTGCACAGTCCTCTCCCTATCTGTCCTCAATGAGACCTAGGCCCAATAGAGACTCTAAAGGTTGCACAGTCTGCTCTCTATCTGTCCTCAATGAGACCCAGGCCCAATGCAGACTCTAAACGTTGCATAGTCTGCTCTCTATCTGTCCGCAATTAGACCTAGGCCCAATGCAGACTCTAAACGTTGCACAGTCTGCTGTCTATCTGTCCGCAATTAGACCTAGGCCCAATGCAGACTCTAAAGGTTGCAGATTCTGCTGTCTATCTGACCTCAAGGAGACCTAGGCCCAATGCAGACTCTAAAGGTTGCACAGTCTGGTCTCTATCTGTCCTCAATGACACCTAGGCCCAGTGCAGACTCTAAAGTTTGCACAGTCTGCTCTCTGTCTGTCCTCAAAGAGACCTAGGCCCAGTGCAGACTCTAAAGGTTGCACAGTCTCCTCTCTATCTGTCCTCACTGATACCTAGGCCCAATGCAGACTCTAAAGGTTGCACAGTCTGTTCTCTATTTGTCCTCAATGAGACCCAGGCCCAATGCAGAGTCTAAAGGTTGCACAGTCTGCTCTCTATCGGTCCTCAATGAGACCTAGGCCCAATGCAGACTCTAAAGGTTGCACAGTCTGCTCTCTATCTGCCCTCAATGAGACCTAGGCCCAATGCAAACTCTAAAGGTTGCACAGTCTGGTCTCTATCTGTCCTCAATGAGACCTAGGCCCAATGCGGACTCTAAAGGTTGCACAGTGTGCTCTCCATCTGTCCTCAATGAGACCTAGGCCCAATGCAGACTCTAAAGGTTGCACAGTCTGCTCTCTATCTCTCCTCAATGAGACCTAGGCCCAATGCAAACTCTAAAGTTTGCACAGTCTGCTCTCTATCTGCCCTCAATGAGACCTAGGCCCAATGCAGACTCTAAAGGTTGCACAGTCTGCTCTCTATGTGTCCTCAATGAGACCTAGGCCAAGTGCAGACTCTAAAGGTTGCACAGTCTGCTCTCTATCTGCCCTCAATGAGACCTAGGCCCAATGTAGACTCTAAAGGTTGCACAGTCTGCTCTCTATCTACTCTCAATGAGACCTAGGCCCAATGCAGACTCTAAAGGTTGCACAGTCTGGTCTCTATCTGTCCTGAATGAGGCCCAGGCCCAATGCAGACTGTAAAGGTTGCACAGTCTGCTCTCTATCTGTCCTCAATGAGACCTAGGCTCAGTCCAGCCTCTAAAGTTTGCATAGTCTGCTCTCTATCTGTCCTCAATGAGACCTAGGTCCAATGCAGACTCTAAAGGTTGCACAGTCTGCTTTCCATCTGTCCTCAATGAGACCTAGGCCCAATGCAGACTCTATAGGTTGCACAGTCTGCTCTCCATCTGTCCTCAATGAGACCTAGGCCCAATGCAGACTCTAAAGGTTGCACAGTCTGCTCTCTATTTGTCCTCAATGAGACCCAGGCCCAATGCAGACTCTAAAGGTGGCACAGTCTGCTCTCTATCGGTCCTCAATGAGACCGAGGCCCTATGCAGTCTCTAAAGGTTACACAGTGTGCTCTCTATCTCTCCTCAGTGAGACCTAGGCCCAATGCAGACTCTAAAGGTTGCACAGTATGGTCTCTATCTGCCCTCAATGAGACCTAGGCCCAGTGCAGACTCTAAAGGTTGCACAGTCTGCTCTCTATCGGTCCTCAATGAGACCTAGGCCCAATGCAGACTCTAAAGGTTGCACAGTCTGCCCTCTATCTGTCCTCAATGAGACCTAGGCCCAGTGCAGCCTCTAAAGGTTGCACAGTCTGCTCTCTATCTGTCCTCAATGAGACCCAGGCCCAATGCAGACTCTAAAGGTTGCACAGTCTGCTCTATATCTGTCCTCAATGAGACCTAGGACCAGTGCCGACTCTAATGGTTGCCTACTCTGCTCTCTATCTGTCCTCAATGAGACCTAGGCCCAATGCAGACTCTAAAGGTTTCACAGTCTGGTCTCTATCTGTCCTCAATGAGACCTAGGCCCAATGCCGACTCTAAAGGTTGCACTGTATGCTCTCTATCTTCTCTCAATGAGACCTAGGCCCAATGCAGACTCTAAAGGTTGCACAGTCTGCTCTCTATGTGCCCTCAATGAGACCTAGGCCCAATGCCGACTCTAAAGGTTGCACTGTATGCTCTCTATCTTCTCTCAATGAGACCTAGGCCCAATGCAGACTCTAAAGGTTGCACAGTCTGCTCTCTATGTGCCCTCAATGAGACCTAGGCCCAATGCAGACTCTAAAGGTTGCACAGTCTGCTCTCCATCTGTCCTCAATGAGACCTAGGCCCAATGCAGACTCTAAAGGTTGCACAGTCTGCTCTCTATTTCTCCTCAATGAGACCCAGGCCCAATGCAGACTCTAAAGGTGGCACAGTCTGCTCTCTATCGGTCCTCAATGAGACCGAGGCCCTATGCAGACTCTAAAGGTTACACAGTGTGCTCTCTATCTGTCCTCAATGAGACCTAGGCCCAATGCAGACTCTAAAGTTTGCGCAGTCTGCTCTCTATCTGTCCTCAATGAGACCTAGGGCCAGTGCAGACTCTAAAGGTTGCATAATCTGCTCTCTATCAGTCCTCAGTGAGACCTAGACCTAATGCAGACTCTAAAGTTTGCAAAGTCTGCTCTCTATCTCTCCTCAGTGAGACCTAGACCCAATGCAGACTCTAAAGGTTGCACAGTATGGTCTCTATCTGCCCTCAATGAGACCTAGGCCCAGTGCAGACTCTAAAGGTTGCACAGTCTGCTCTCTATCTGACCTCAATGAGACCTAGGCCCAATGCAGACTCTAAAGGTTGCACAGTCTGCCCTGTATCTGTCCTCAATGAGACCTAGGCCCAATGCAGACTCTAAAGTTTGCACAGTCTGGTCTCTATCTGTCCTCAATGAGACCTAGGCCCAATGCCGACTCTAGAGGTTGCACAGTGTGCTCTCTATCTGCTCTCAATGAGACCTAGGCCCAATGCAGACTCTAAAGGTTGCACAGTCTGCTCTCTAACTGCCCTCAATGAGACCTAGGCCCAATGCAGACTCTAAAGGTTGCACAGTCTGTTCTCTATCTGTCCTCAATGAGACCTAGGCCAAGTGCAGACTCTAAAGCTTGCCCAGTCTGCTCCCTATCTGACCTCAATGAGACCTAGGCCCAATGCAGACTATAAAGGTTCTACAGTCTCCTCTCTATCTGTCCTCAATGAGACCCAGGCCCAATGCAGACTCTAAAGGTTGCACACTCTGGTCTCTTTCTGTACTCAATGAGACCTAGGCCAAATGCAGACTCTAAAGGTAGCACAGTCTGCTCTCTAACTGTCCTCAATGAGACATAGGCCTAATGCAGACTCTAAAGG
>NC_000023.11:222346-226276 GCF_000001405.40 Homo sapiens
ACCCTAACCCTAACCCTAACCCTAACCCTAACCCTAACCCTAACCCTAACCCTAACCCTAACCCTAACCCTAACCCTAACCCTAACCCTCTGAAAGTGGACCTATCAGCAGGATGTGGGTGGGAGCAGATTAGAGAATAAAAGCAGACTGCCTGAGCCAGCAGTGGCAACCCAATGGGGTCCCTTTCCATACTGTGGAAGCTTCGTTCTTTCACTCTTTGCAATAAATCTTGCTAYTGCTCACTCTTTGGGTCCACACTGCCTTTATGAGCTGTGACACTCACCGCAAAGGTCTGCAGCTTCACTCCTGAGCCAGTGAGACCACAACCCCACCAGAAAGAAGAAACTCAGAACACATCTGAACATCAGAAGAAACAAACTCCGGACGCGCCACCTTTAAGAACTGTAACACTCACCGCGAGGTTCCGCGTCTTCATTCTTGAAGTCAGTGAGACCAAGAACCCACCAATTCCAGACACACTAGGACCCTGAGACAACCCCTAGAAGAGCACCTGGTYGATAACCCAGTTCCCATCTGGGATTTAGGGGACCTGGACAGCCCGGAAAATGAGCTCCTCATCTCTAACCCAGTTCCCCTGTGGGGATTTAGGGGACCAGGGACAGCCCGTTRCATSAGCCCCTGGWCTCTAACCCAGTTCCCTTCTGGAATTTAGGGGCCCTGGGACAGCCCTGTACATGAGCTCCTGGTCTGTAACACAGTTCCCCTGTGGGGATTTAGGGACTTGGGCCTTCTGTCTTTGGGATCTACTCTCTATGGGCCACACAGATATGTCTTCCAACTTCCCTACACAGGGGGGACTTCAAAGAGTGCCTTGAGCTGATCTGGTGATTGCTTTTTTGTACTGTTATTTATCTTATTCTTTTCATTGTGAGGTACTGATGCAAACACTTTGTACGAAAAGGTCTTTCTCATCTCGGGAGTCCCCGTCTATTTGTCCCGGTCCCTGTTAACCCAGTCCCCGACAGGAGCCCCTTCTGCACCTTGAGCTCTCACCACTCACCGTCCATCCAGCCCCAGCTCTGCCTGCAACCCACCCATCCCTGGGACTCGGGCCTCCCCTCTCTAGTGGTCTGGTCATCAGGCCAGGGGCACGTGGAAGAAGCTATCGTGGCAAAGGGAGCAGTCATATCCCCAAAATCTGTGGTTGGTTTACCACCACCATGGAAACCCCAGGGTGGGACTCTAGTTTCAGGTTGGAGCTGAGCCCTGTCGGGAATGAGCTTTCCCCAGCTATGGCTTCTTGGGGCCCCTGTGCCCTGAGCTGTGTCTCCCAGCATCGGGTCCCCACCATGCATATGGCCCACTCAGGCACAGTGCCGCGATGGCTGCATGCGTGAGGGGGGCCTGGGCCCAGGGCTGGGAGTCCTTTGTGTCTCATGGCCATGATTGTCCTTCCGAGTATGATATGGTGGCCAATTTCTTTTATTCTGTCGTTCAGAGTGAGTAAATGATGTAGAGTTCATGCAGAAAAAAATACAACAAAAACCAAGGGAACATAGAATTGGAAAACGCGTCACAGCAATGAGTTAAATAGGTAACAAATTTCATCATTTGAAGAAAGACTTAGAGTGCCAAAAGTGCCTCTTAAGTCTCCTTTAAAAAGTAGCAAAATTCATCCCTGAAGAAGCATCTTGGCCTTTTTCATGTACTCAGAGTGCTGGTGAAGAACAAAGATTGCTGAAACATTATGTACCTAACAGCGTTACAGGGTGTAGATAACACACTGGAAAACCTGGTCGTTACAGTGGACATATTCCAGGAAGTCCTTGCCTGAGGTTTTCCAAGTTATGGAATTGCTTGAGATTGGAAGAGGCGATGGAGGGTACAACTGTAATGCCCAACCTCATTTTTGCTAACCCTGTTTTTAGACTCTCCCTTTCCTTCAATCACCTAGCCTTCTTTCCACCTGAAAGGACTCTCCCTTAACTGAGAGAACCGGACAGACTCCATCTTGGCTCTTTCACTGGCAGCCCCTTCCTCAAAGACTTAACTCGTGCAAGCTGACTCCCAGGACATCCGAGAATGCAATTAACTGACAACCTACTGTGGCGAGCTACATCCGCAGTCCCCAGGAATTCGTCCGATTGATAACGCCCAATTACCCGCGTCTATCACCTTGTAATAGTCTTAAAGCACCTGCACCTGGAACTGTTTACTTTCCTGTAACCATTTATCCTTTTAACATTTTGCCTGATTTACTTATGTAAAATTCTTTTAACTAGACCGCCACTCCCCTTTCTAAACAAAAGTATAAAAGAAAATCTAGCCCCTTCTTTGGGACTGAGACAATTTTGAGGTTAACGCAGGGTGCCTGTAATCCTAAGGGAGGAGACCGCCACTTCTGCTGCCCTTCCCTTCCCCACACCCCCTTCTCTAGTTTATGAAACAGGGAAAAAGGGAGAAAGCAAAAAGATAAAAAAAACAGAAGTAAGATAAATAGCTAGACGACCTTGGCAGCACCACCCGGCACTGGTGGTTAAAATAATAATAATAATAATATTAACCCCTGACCTAAACTACTTGTGTTATCTGTAAATTCCAGACACTGTATGAGGAAGCCCTGCAAAACTTTCTGTTCTGTTATCTGATGCGTGTAGCCCCCAGTCACGTTCCGATGCTTCCTCGATCTATCACGACCCTTTCACGTGAACCCCTTAGAGTCGTAAACCCTTAAAAGGGCCAGGAATTTCGTTTTCGGGGAGCTCGGCTCTTCAGGCCCAAGTAAACCTGCCGTATCTCACCTGAGACCAACCCCCAACTACAAAACTCAACCTGGAATTTTCCCAGGACCAAACCCATCTATATTCTGTAACCCGAAACCTCAAAGCCTAACCCTAACCCTAACCCCTACAGTTGAGGTCCCCCCGCCCCTGTGGTTCCAGCTCAAGACAACCTGCCCCTCCGTGGGTTTGCAGGCCCTCTGGTGGGGGTGGGAGCTGGGGGCCACATACAGCTCTCTGAGCTTAAGCCATTTTCTTCCTTCATTCCTTCCTTCCTCCCTCCCTTCCCTTCCTTCCTCCCTCCCTCCCTCCTTCCCTCCCTCCCTTTTTTTTTTCAGGGTCTTGCTCTGTCACCCAGGCTGGAGTGCAGTGGCATGATCACAGCTGACTGCAGCCTCGGACTCCCAGGCTCAAGTTATCTTCCCTCCTCAGCCTCCAGAGTAGGTGGGACTACAGGAGTGTGCCATTGCACCCAGCGAATTTCTTAATTTTTATTTTGTAGAGATGAGGCCTCTCGATATTGTCCAGGCTTGGAAGTAGTTCTTGAAATTCAAGAGGATCTTGAAGTTCTGACCTCCTGTCAATATCCCTTCCCCTCACCTTGACCCTCCCATTCTGCCCCACCTGTCAGGATCACAAGGACCCCCAGATCAGCAGATGGGAACCGGACCAAAAAGAGAAATAGTGCTGTCCCGCCCATAAGTACCACCCCCAGACTCCCTGCTCCACCCTCTGGACCACAGGGAGGCCCCATGCTCCATCCCTGAAAACCACCCCCAGACTCCCTGCTCCTCCCCACGGGACCGCCCCCAGATCCACTGTTCCTGTCCTCCGGACCACACCGGACAGCTCCTTCCCTCGGCGCCATCCCCAGACCCCAGCTCCTCCCCTCAGGATCATCCCCAGACCCCCGCTCCTCCCCTAAGGACCACCCACAGACCCCCACGCTTCCCCTCGGGATCACCCCCAGACCCCCGCTCCTCCCATCAGGACCGCCCCCAGAACCCCCTGCTCCTCCCCACAGGACCACCCCCAGACCCCCGCTCCTCCCCTAAGGACCACCCACAGACCCCCACGCTTCCCCTCGGGACCACCCCCAGACCCCCGCTCCTCCCATCAGGACCACCCCCAGATCCACTGTTCCTGTCCTCCGGACCACACCAGACAGCTCCTTCCCTCGGCGCCATCC
>NC_000023.11:2132994-2137388 GCF_000001405.40 Homo sapiens
TGTCTGTGTATGTATATATATATATATATATATATATATATATATATATATATATGCACACATAGCATGTACATCGCTCAAAGCCCAGGTTTTTGGACATCAGTGTAACTGACCTGCTGATTAGCGTATGGTGAGGACTGCCAGCCGGAACACACCAGGGAAAGGATAAAAAAAGTGGGCAGAGCGAGGAGCTATTTTAGTCCTGGTCCAGGGTCCACCACCATGTGGCTGCATTTTAATGACACACGCGCTTCACCCTCCCAGATGCTGAATTCACCTGCAACATCACACTCCTCAAGGAGACGTTTAGCAGACATTATCTGAGGGCTCCGTGCAGAGCAGAGCCTGGTCACTGACTGTTTTCTCAGGAAAAGATAGGTGCAGAAGGTAGGGGAAGGACCTGAGTCCCAGGGGAATCAGCCACTAAGAATTCAGCATCTGGCCAAGTTGCTCAAAGAAATTGTTCTTGTTTAGCCTCTCTCTTGAATCAGTGGATGTTTACTGGAACCTGGAAGGAAAGGGAAGACAGCCAGAAGCTATGGTGTATGTGTGTGTGGCTGAGCAGGGAAAGGAAAGAGGTGGAGAGAAGGAGGGAGAGAAGAAGGAATAAGACAGGGGAGGAGGAGAGGGGAGGAAGAAAGAGGAGGAGAAGGAGGAGGGGGAGAAGGAGGAGGAGTAAAAAGAGAAGTGGTAGGAGAGGGTAGAAGGAGGAGGAGGAGAGGGAGGAGGAAGAGAAAAGGAGAGGAGGAGGAGGGGAGGAGGAGATGGGAGGAGGAGGAGGAAAGGAGAGAAGGAGGGAGAGGGGGAGGAGGAGGAGGAAAGGAGAGAAGGAGGAAGAGGGGGAGGAGGAGGAGGAAAGGAGAGAAGGAGGAAGAGGGGGAGGAGGAGAGAGAAGGAGGGGAGACAGGAGGAGGAGGGGAGAGGGGAGGAGGAGGGAGGGGAGGAGGAGACAGGAGGAGGAGGAGGAGAAGGAGAAGGGAGGAGGAGGAAGAGAGGGGAGGAGGAGGAAGAGGAGGGGGAGGAGAGGGTAGAAGGAGGAGGGAGGAGGAGGACAAGGACAGACAGTGGGAGGAGGAGAAATAGTAAATGAAGAAGGAGAACAAGAAAAGATGAAAAAAGAGAGGGAGTAGAAGGAAAAGGAGAAGGAGGAAGAGGAGAAGAAGGAGTATCAAATGGTACAATTTCTAAAATCCAATCTGACCAAGTCTAGACCTTCTCCAAAAGAAATCGCCAAGTAAGCAGTAACAAGTAAAATAAAAGAGAGGATAGTCTTTAAGAGACAAACCTAGTAGGTCAGATTTTTTTTTTTTTAAGGAAGCTTAGTTTTTATTGGATACACTTTCATCTTTATAGCTCATTGATTGTGAAAAGGCTTATGGAATAATATAATTACCAAACAACAAAATAAATAAACAGTTGTAGACTTATGCTACACAATAAATGACAAAACCGCACACACACAAAAAAGGAGGGGAATATTTAAAACTTAGTTACGTTTCCTTCGACACATTTTTCACTGGGTGGAAGGAAAAGCCCAGCATCAAATACTTTCTTTGAAGTCTCTAAAAGCTTTCTCAGTGATGAGATTAAACTTGCAAAAGCTTTCTTGCTGTGGGGAGGCAACAACGACAGCTCTAATTACAGGGGTTCTGCACTCAGGGTGTTATGGTTCTCTGAAACAAGGAAGAGAGGCGTGCATACATTAATCCAAGGATACGTCCCAGCCAGTAATGAGCCACCGCTTGCAGTGGAAAGCAGGGAGTTGTGAGCTTGTGTCATAGAATATACAATTTCCTTGTGGTGTCCCACAAAAAGCTATCTCCCATTCAGATTGTTCCTACGTAGTTGTGCCAGTCATAACAAGAACCAAGATCTACAAACAAAAGAAAAGAAAGAGAAGAAAGAAAGAAAGAAAGAGAGAGAGAGAAAGAGAGAAAGAAAGAAAGAAAGAGGAGGGAAGAAAGGAAGGAAGGAAGGGAGGGAGGAGAAAGGAAGGAAGAAAGGAAGAAAGAAAGAAGAAAGGAAGGAAGAAAAGAAGGAAGGAGAAAGAAAGGAAGGAAGAATGAAGGAAGGAAGAAGGAAGTCCTTCTTCCTGTGAGTAAATGCCCTATCCCAACTATTCCCTTTGTTGGCCAACTGCATGGTTAGTTTATCTAAAAAATTAATAGGAATGAAGTAATCAACATAATTGGTCTTGTTTCATATGTAATATGTCCATGGTTTAACTATTTTTGTGTGTGTGTGTGAGACAGAGTCTCACTCTGATGCCCATGCTGGAGTGCAGTGGCGTGATCTCGGCTCACTGTAACCTCTGCCTCCTGGGTTCAAGCGATTCCCCTGCCTCAGCCTCCCAAGTATCTGGGACTACAAGTGGGCACCACCACGCCTGGCTAATTTTTTTGTATTTTAGTAGAGACGGGGTTTCACTGTGTTAGCCAGGATGGTCTCGATCTCCTGACCTCATGATCCACCCACCTCGGCCTCCCAAAGTGCTGGGATTACAGGCGCACGCCACCACGCCCAGCTGGTTTAACTGTTTTTAAAAATAATTTGAAGGCTGTCTCCTGGCAGAATTTCCTCTTGCTCTGTGGAGGTCAGATTTTGTTCTTTTCATGTCTTCAACTGATTAGACAAGGCCCACCCACATTATGGAGAGAGGGTCATCTTGACTCAAAGTCACTGATATCAACCCCATCCAAAAACACATTCACAGAAACATCCAGGATGACGTTCACCCACACATCTGGGCACAGTGGCCCAGCCAAGTGGACACATAAAATTAACCATCACAAATATTATTACTTAAATGAAATGCTTAAAAAGAACAGCCAGAGGAAACATAAAGCAAGGGATTAGAAGCAAACAGGGGGCATATTCATTAAAGCAGCTGGGCAGAGAAGGGGCTGATATAAATGGGAAACAACGTCAGAGCAAACTCTTGGAAGATAGGGGAATCTGGCGTGCTTGTGGGCCAAGAGTAAGAGCTTAAGAGAGGTATATTGAATGTTTTCCCCTCCTGTCAGCCTGAAGCCAGTGACTGCTGTGGTTTGAAGGCAGAAAGAGAAATCCCATAAAAATACCTAGAAGTCCACTGTTGTGCCAGGTTTTACGTCTACTTTGGGACACTGGCTTCAGGATAGTCTAACTTGCCCTTACAACTCTGGTTCAAGCATAGATAATTGATCCAAGCCAGTGTGAAATATCAATGCATGTGCACATATGCATGTGTGTTACCAGGAAATAACTCAGCAAGAATGAGAGCACCACAGCCATAACATAGATTAAAATGTAGACCTCACAGTGTTATCAGGATCAGCTTTTTTCAAGAAACCATGGGCTTCATTCATTCAAAAAGCACAATTGCATGGTAGACTATTACCTTGCCTGCTCATTTATTTGTATATCCCTAGCTTCTCACACTGAAGATATGCACACTAAACACTGGTCAAACAAAAATGAGTGGATAAATGATTAACCAATTTGTTTCATTCTCCCCACAAGACAAGCACTGGTCATTTTACATGGTGCCCAAAACTGACTCTAGTGTGTACTTTTAAACCCTATTTAATAAGACCAACCAGGCCAGATGCGGTGGCTCACGCCTGTCATCCCAGCACTTTGGGAGGCCAAGGCAAGCAGATCACCTGAGGTTGGGAGTTCGAGACCAGCCTGACCAACACGGAGAAACCCCATTTCTACTAAAAATACAAAATTACCTGGGTGTCGTGGTACATGCCTGTAGGAGAATCGGTTGAACCCAGTAGGCGGAGGTTGCAGTGAGCTGAGATCGCGCCATTGCACTTAAGCCTGGGCAACAAGAGCAAAACTCCGCCTCCAAAAAAAATAAAAATAGAAATAAGACCAATCAAAGGAGATCTTGTATGAATGGCCCAAAACTAAAGTATGCATGATTTTATTTTCCAAGTCAGATGGGCCTCAGAGCTTAGCAGAAAGTATCATCATTATCACCATCAACATCATTGTCATCATCATCACCATCATCTCCATTACCTCTCCCATCATCATCATCATCACTACCAACATCATCATCATCACCATTATCTCCATTATCACTACCATCATCATCACCATCCTCACCATCATCATCACCATCATCTTCATTACCTCCATCATCATCATCACCATCACCATCTTCATTACCTCCCCCATCATCATCACGATCACCATCTTTATTACCTCTCCCATCATCATCATCACCATCCTCACCATCGTCATCATCATCACCATCTTCATTACCTCCCCCATCATCATCATCACGATCACCATCTTCATAACCTCTCCCATCATCATCATCACGATCACCATCTTCATAACCTCTCCCATCATCATCATCACGATCACCATCTTCATAACCTCTCCCATCATCATCATCA